>NW_025791777.1:1015280-1170467 GCF_000001405.40 Homo sapiens
GAATTTGTTGGGAAATGGAGTAAAGTCACTCTTACTATGCAAAGACACTGCAGGCATTGTGCACCTGTATTAGAAACGGGCATAAGATAGGCGGGAAAGAGGGAAAATAAGAATTTCTTTCTAGAGTTCCCTACAGATCTGTGGAACTTTGAACTTGAGAGAGATGATTTAAGGTATCTGACAGAAGAAATTTCTAAGCAGCAAAGCATTCGAGAAGAAGCAGAGCATAAAAGTTCAGAAAATTTGTAGCCTGATGATGCAACAGAAAAGAAAAATCTATTTTCTCAGGAGACTGGGTTGTAGAAATTTGCATAAGTAATGAGGAGCCAAATGTTAATCACCAAGACAATGGGGCAAATGTCTCCAGGGCATGTTAGAGACCCTCACAGCAGACCCTCCCATCACAGGCCAGGAGGCTTAGAAGGAAAAATGGTTTTGTGGGTCCAGAACCCCCTGCTGTGTGCAGCCTAGGAACTTGGGGCCCTGCATCCCAGCTGCTCCTGCCATAGGTAAAAGGGGCCAAGGTACACCTCAGGCCATGGCTTCAGAGGGTGCAAGTTCCAAGCCTTTCAGGTTCTAGGTGGTGTTAAGCCTGCAGATGCACCAAAGTCAAGAATTAACGTTCATGAACCTCCGCCTACATTTCAGAAGATGTATGAAAATGCCTGGAAATCCAGGCAAAAGTTTGCTGTGGGGGGGAGGGGAGGGGGGGGCCCTCATGGATAACCTCTGCTAGGGCAGTGTCAAAGGGAAATATGGGGTTGGAGCTCCCACACAGAGTCCCCACTGGGGTACTGCCAAGCAGAGCTGTGAGAAAAGGGCCACCATCCTCCAGACCCCAGAATGGTAGATCCACTGACAGCTTGCACTGTGTGCCTGGAAAAGCTGCAGACACTCAATGCAGCCAGAAGGGGGGCTGTACCCTGCAAAGCCACAGGGGCGGGGCTGCCCAAGACCCTGGGAACCCACTTCTTGCATCACCTAGATGTGACACATGGAGTCAAAGGAGGTCATTTTGGAGCTTTAAGATTTGCCTGCTGGGTTTTGGACTTGCATGGGGCCTGTAGCTCTTTTGCTTTGGCCAATTTCTCCCATTTGAAACGAGTGTATTTACCCAATGCCTGTATCCCTGTGTATCTAGAAAATAACTAACTTGCTTTTGATTTTACAGGCTCATAGGTGGAAGGGACTTGCCTTGTCTCAGATGAGACTTTGGACTATGGAATTTTGAGTTAATGCTGAAATAAGAGTTTGGGGGACTTAGGGGAAGGCACGATTGCTTTTGAAATATGAGGACATGAGATTTGGGAGGGGCCGGGGAAGAATTATATGGTTTGGCTCTGTCCGCACCCAAATCTCATCTTGAATTGTAACAATTCCCATGTGTCAAGGGTGGGGCCAGGTGGAGATAACTGAATCATGGAGGCAGTTTCCCCCATGCTGTTCTCATGGTAGTGAATAAGTCTCATGAGGTCTGATGGTTTTATAAATGGATGTTCCCCTGCACATGCTCTCTCCTGCCCACCATGTCTGACTAAATTTTGTATTTTTACTAGAGACGGGCTTTCACTATGTTGGCCAGGCTGGCCTCCAACTCCTGATCTCGTGATCCGTCCACCCCGACCTCCCAAAGTGCTAGGATCATAGGCATAAGCCACCACACCCGGCCTCTTTTTTTTCTTTTTCTTTTTTTTATCTGGAGACTGAGTTTTGCACTCGTTGCCCAGGCTGGAGTGCAATGGTGCGATCTCAGCTCACTGCAGTCTCCACCTCAGCAGGAGAGCAGGAATCTTCAGTGATCCACGGGCAAATATGCAGCCATTGTGGGCACCTGTTCCTCCCGCGACCTTTGTGCCCACGTCTCTCCCTCCAGTACCTACTGCACGACCCCCCACGTCCGCCTCCTGCCATTGCCAGCAGGTGCCTTGCGCGGGTACCTGGCTGTGCTTATTCATCCATTATGGTCGCTCTGTCACTGGTGCCATTATGTGCTCACATGCCCACTCCCTCAGGTTTAGAAGTCGCGTTGCCCGGCAACAGAACAATCTGCTGGCTTAGCCTTTGGCCAAGTTGGCAGCTGGATGAGGACGCTCAGAGCCCAGCTCTTGAGAGTTCAAGTATCCGACAGTTCCCCACTGCTCCCAGGAGCGGTTACCCGGGCACTCTGTGCCCCTCATTCCTGTTTGGGCCAAGGCCGAGGACCTGCGAGTAGGGCTCAGTTGCCTGGAGCCCCTTCAGCCCATCCCCCAGTTCACTTTGCTTGTGGGATCTCCCCGTTGCTCCTGCCCCTGGACTGAGTGGCAGGCCATCCTACAAACACCCGCACACTCGACATCAGTGGTGTCAAGACAACTCTAAGAAGGTTTTCCGTGATCCTGCAAGACCTGTGTTCCATCCTGGTGATTCTATCTTCAATTTCACTGCACAGGTACCACAGTAAGCCAGTGCTGTGTGCTCCGAGTTCCAGGGCATCCCCCAGCTCAGCCACTACACTGAGCACAAGGACTCTGTGGGGCCCAGGAGCAGGTAGTCACCCCTTTGGGGTCCACAACACCCGGCTGTCCCCAGACTTGTGTCCAGGGAAGATAGTGTTGAGGGCCCTCAAGGAGAGCGGGGCAGGGATGCCTGAGCAGCACAAGGACCCCAGAGTCCAAGAAAATCCTGATGATCAGAGAACGGTCCCCGAGGTCACCGGGGATGCACGGTCTGCATTTTGGCCCCTGCGGGACAATGGAGGCCCCTCTCCCTTTGTGCCCAGGCCCGGGCCTCTGCAGACAGACCTCCACGCCCAGAGCTCAGAAATCAGATATAACCACACATCCCAGACATCCTGGACGAGCTCGAGCACCAAACGAAATGCCATCTCCAGCTCCTACAGCTCCACGGGAGGCTTGCCGGGGCTAAAGCAGAGGAGGGGGCCAGCCTCATCCCGCTGCCAGCTGACCCTCAGTTACTCAAAGACAGTGAGTGAGGACAGGCCTCAGGCTGTCTCTTTGGGTCACACACGGTGTGAAAAGGGGGCAGATACAGCACCAGGGCAGACAATCGCCCCAACGGGTGGCTCCCCCAGATCCCAGGACTCTAGGCCCCGTAGACGCAAGATTCCCCTGCTGCCACGCAGGCGAGGGGAGCCTTTGATGCTGCCACCTCCCTTAGAGCTGGGGTACCGGGTCACGGCTGAAGACCTGCACCTGGAAAAAGAGACGGCATTCCAGCGCATCAACAGTGCACTGCACGTTGAGGACAAGGCCATCCCGGACTGCAGACCCTCACGGCCTTCCCACACTTTGTCCTCACTTGCAACAGGGGCTTCGGGTGGGCCTCCCGTTTCTAAAGCACCCACTATGGATGCACAGCAGGACAGACCCAAGTCCCAAGACTGCCTGGGCCTAGTGGCCCCCCTAGCATCTGCTGCAGAGGTCCCCGCTACAGCTCCCGTGTCTGGGAAGAAGCACAGACCACCAGGACCCCTGTTCTCCTCCTCAGATCCCCTTCCTGCCAACTCTTCCCACTCCCGGGACTCAGCCCAGGTCACCTCGATGATTCCTGCCCCCTTCACAGCTGCAAGCAGGGATGCCGGCATGAGAAGAACAAGGTCGGCTCCTGCAGCTGCCGCAGCAGCCCCTCCCCCCTCCACATTGAACCCCACGTCGGGGTCACTACTCAATGCAGTGGATGGAGGCCCCTCACATTTCTTGGCCTCAGCCACAGCTGCAGCACGTGCCCAGAGGTCAGAAGTGAGATATAACCAGAGATCCCAGACCTCCCGGACCAGATCCTGCCTCAAACGAAATGCCAGCTCCAGCTCCCACAGCTCTACGGAAGGCCTCCAGGAAGTAAAGCGGAGGAGGGGGCCAGCCTCATCCCACTGCCAGCTGGCCCTCAGTTCCTCAAACACAGTGAGTGAGGACGGACCTCAGGCTGTCTCTTCGGGTCACCGCTGTGAAAACAAGGCAGGTACAGCACCAGGGCAGACACTTGCCCCCAGGGGTGGCTCCCCCAGATCCCAGGCCTCTAGGCCCCACATCAACACTGCACTGCACGTTGAGGACAAGGCCATCTCGGACTGCAGACCCTCACGGCCTTCCCACACTTTGTCCTCACTTGCAACAGGGGCTTCGGGTGGGCCTCCCGTTTCTAAAGCACCCACTATGGATGCACAGCAGGACAGACCCAAGTCCCAAGACTCCCTGGGCCTACTGGCCCCCCTAGCATCTGCTGCAGAGGTCCCCTCTACAGCTCCCGTGTCTGGGAAGAAGCACAGACCACCAGGACCCCTGTTCTCCTCCTCAGATCCCCTTCCTGCCACCTCTTACCACTCCCGGGACACAGCACAGGTCACCTCGCTGATTCCTGCCACCTTCACAGCTGCAAGCAGGGATGCCGGCATGAGAAGAACAAGGTCGGCTCCTGCAGCTGCCACAGCAGCCCCTCCCCCCTCCACATTGAACAACACGTCGGGGTCACTACTCAATGCAGTGGATGGAGGCCCCTCACATTTCTTGGCCTCAGCCACAGCTGCAGCACGTGCCCAGAGGTCAGAAGTGAGATATAACCAGAGATCCCAGACCTCCCGGACCAGATCCTGCCTCAAACGAAATGCCAGCTCCAGCTCCAGCTCCCACAGCTCTACGGAAGGCCTCCAGGAACTAAAGCGGAGGAGGGGGCCAGCCTCATCCCACTGCCAGCTGGCCCACAGTTCCTCAAACACAGTGAGTGAGGACGGACCTCAGGCTGTCTCTTCGGGTCACCGCTGTGAAAACAAGGCAGGTACAGCACCAGGGCAGACACTCGCCCCCAGGGGAGGCTCCCCCAGATCCCAGGCCTCTAGGCCCCACATCAACAGTGCACTGTACGTTGAGGACAAGGCCATCTCGGACTGCAGACCCTCACGGCCTTCCCACACTTTGTCCTCACTTGCAACAGGGGCTTCGGGTGGGCCTCCCGTTTCTAAAGCACCCACTATGGACGCACAGCAGGACAGACCCAAGTCCCAAGACTGCCTGGGCCTAGTGGCCCCCCTAGCATCTGCTGCAGAGGTCCCCTCTACAGCTCCCGTGTCTGGGAAGAAGCACAGACCACCAGGACCCCTGTTCTCCTCCTCAGATCCCCTTCCTGCCACCTCTTCCCACTCCCGGGACTCAGCCCAGGTCACCTCGCTGATTCCTGCCACCTTCACAGCTGCAAGCAGGGATGCCGGCATGAGAAGAACAAGGCCTGGCACCTCGGCTCCTGCAGCTGCCGCAGCAGCCCTTCCCCCCTCCACATTGAACCCCACGTCGGGGTCGCTACTCAATGCAGTGGATGGAGGCCCCTCACATTTCTTGGCCTCAGCCACAGCTGCAGCACGTGCCCAGAGGTCAGAAGTGAGATATAACCAGAGATCCCAGACCTCCCGGACCAGATCCTGCCTCAAACGAAATGCCAGCTCCAGCTCCCACAGCTCTACGGAAGGCCTCCAGGAACTAAAGCGGAGGAGGGGGCCAGCCTCATCCCACTGCCAGCTGGCCCACAGTTCCTCAAACACAGTGAGTGAGGACGGACCTCAGGCTGTCTCTTCGGGTCACCGCTGTGAAAACAAGGCAGGTACAGCACCAGGGCAGACACTCGCCCCCAGGGGTGGCTCCCCCAGATCCCAGGCCTCTAGGCCCCGCATCAACAGTGCACTGCACGTTGAGGACAAGGCCATCTCGGACTGCAGACCCTCACGGCCTTCCCACACTTTGTCCTCACTTGCAACAGGGGCTTCGGGTGGGCCTCCCGTTTCTAAAGCACCCACTATGGATGCACAGCAGGACAGACCCAAGTCCCAAGACTGCCTGGGCCTACTGGCCCCCCTAGCATCTGCTGCAGAGGTCTCCTCTACAGCTCCCGTGTCTGGGAAGAAGCACAGACCACCAGGACCCCTGTTCTCCTCCTCAGATCCCCTTCCTGCCACCTCTTCCCACTCCGGGGACTCAGCCCAGGACACCTCGCTGATTCCTGCCCCCTTCACACCTGCAAGCAGGGATGCCGGCATCAGAAGAATGTTTCGTGTTCGAAATTGTTTGAGGGGTTTGGGTTTATTTTTGTTGGTTTTTTCTTTTTTTTTTTTGCTTACGTGGGCATCCTTCAGCTTTTAATAATCTGAAAAATTCTATTTACCCATTGTCAATGTGTATAAATTAATCTCAGTCAATTTTATACAATAAAAGGTGAACTTTTATCCATCAAACAATAATTTAACAAAAAATGTACCGGAAGAAGAATGTTCATTACAAATATAGGAAACATAAATATTACCAAATATTGGCAAGCACTAAAATGTTCAGAAATATAAGTCTATTACAGTTATAGCTCTCTCAAGCAAAAAAACAGCAGAGAAAAACTTAGTTTTCCTGAGGGGCTATTTATTTACTTAGGGATTTGTTAAAAGGTCAAATGGGGTCACACAGAATACTAAGAAGAGCTGTTCACCCAGGCCTCACTAAGAACTCTTCTTCATGCAGTAGCTATATAGTAATATGACAACTGCTCCTACGACCCAAAGAGGAACTACAGCAACTACTCTTTAGCATCTGTTGCTCCCAACTCTGCTTTGCAATTATATGACTCAAGCATTCTGGCTCCGTTAACTATTACTGCTGTTACTCCCAAGTAAATTCCCTCTAAAAAATAAAAATTTTTAAAGCTGTAATTTAAGCTCTCTGCTGCCTCATGACTTCAATTCCATCAGAGTTACGCATTGTTTCCTCTGTACATCTTTGCTCTGCTTCCATTGCTAATTCCCTAGTAAAGTGTTGTATATTCAAAGTTCCAAAGAAACAGAATATCCAAGACATCACCAATCATCCAAAACACAGTGTAGGAGGCCACAGTTAAGAGAAGCAACACCATTAGCTCTTTTTATAGGCTCGAGAACAACAGGATGCTTTGGTCCTGTATCAGCAGGACGCTTTTTGGGTAGATCCTACTGCCACCCTACTATCGGGTAGATCCTACTGTCACCCTAGCTATGGGCACATGTCAGAGTCCCATGTAATAAAGGAGACAAAAGGAAACCACCACGAGTATAAACTAAGAAAAGTACTCCAAGGTTTCTAAGAATGGAGCTGTATAACTCACTTTGCCCCATTTGTTACTTCTCCACGGTACTTACCACCACCTATTACATATATTTTGTTTATAGTCAGTCTTCCCCCATTAGAATGAAAGTTCCGTGAGGATAGGACTATACAGTCAGCCCTCAGTATCCATGGGGGACTGGTTTCAGGATCTCCTGA
Source organism: Homo sapiens (assembly GCF_000001405.40). NCBI lineage: Eukaryota > Metazoa > Chordata > Mammalia > Primates > Hominidae > Homo > Homo sapiens. The sequence continues at coordinate 1,022,543 of NW_025791777.1, forward strand.
GGGTAACAAAGGATACTCAAGTCCCTGATATAAAATGACATAGTATTTGCACATCACCTTTGCACATCCTCCCATATACTTCATATCAACTCTAGATCACTCATAATATCCGATGTAAATGTCATGCAAATAGTTATTGTACTATATTGTGTAAGGAATAAGGACAAGAAAAAAGTCTGTACATGTTCAGTACAGACGCAATTTTTTTTTCCAATATTTCCAATCCTTGGTTGCCTTAACGGATGTAGAACCCAGGAATAAGTTCTGGTGTCCTATTGCATAGTAGGATGAGTATAGTTAACAATAACATATTATATATTTGAAAATAGCCAGAAGAGTAGATTTTGAATTTTCTCCCTACAGAAAAATCATTATGCAAATTACCCTGATTTGATCATTACACATTGAGTACATGTATTAAAACATCACATTCTACCCCATATATATGTACAGTTATTATGTGTCCATAAAAATTTAATGTCAATGTGTGAAATAAAATGAAAAAATAAAAATTTTTAAAGCTGTAATTATCTCCATCTGGTAGGAATATATACAATCTGAAATAAAAAATATATTTGTAATTGTTAGGACAAAATAGATTATACGTTAAGTCTGCAAATTATAAATTATAAAATTCTCACAGAACCTGAAAAATTATTGATACTGTTAAATATTTAAAAAGCTGTCCTTGGAGAGAAAGAAACCTATCAGATTTACATCAACAAGTGTAATATGTCAGCCTATTACCATCTGCTACAGACTGCATGTTTGTGTTCCCTCAAAATTCATATGATAGGCCGGGCGCGGTGGCTCATGCCTGTAATCCCAGCACTTTGGGAGGCCGAGGCGGGTGGATCATGAGGTCAGGAGATCGAGATCATCCTGGCTAACATGGTAAAACCCCGTCTCTACTGAAAATACAAAAAATTAGCCGGGCGCAGTGGCGGGCGCCTTAGTCCCAGCTACTGAGGAGGCTGACGCAGGAGAACGGCGTGAACCCAGGAGGCGGAGCTTGTAGAGAGCCGAGATTGTGCCACTGCACTCCAGCCTGGGTGACAGACAGAGCGAGACTCTGTCTCAAAAAAAAAAAAAAAAAAAATTCATATGATAAAGCCCTAACCCCCAAGGTGAGGATACTGGGAGGCGTGGCCTTTAGGAGAGAATTAGGTTTAGATGAGGTCATGAGAATAGAGCCCCTATGGTGGCATTACTTCCTTTATAAGAAGAGACACTAGAGCTGCTTTTCTCCCTACCATGTGAGGATACCGAGAGAAGATGGCCATTTCCAATCTAGGAAGCAGGCCCTCTTTAAGAAACACAATTTGCCAACACTTTGATCTTGCACTTCCAGTCTCCAGAACTGTGAGAAATATCTGTTTTTTTGTTTGTTTGTTTTTGTTTTTTTTGAGACAGAGTCTCATTCTGTCATCCAGGCTGGAGTACAGTGGTGCGATCATGGCTCACTGCAACCTCCGCCTCCCAGGTTCAAGCAATTCTCCCACCTCAGCCTCCCAAGTAGCTCAGACTACAGGCGTGCACCACCATGCCCAGCTGATTTTCGTAGAGACAAGGTTTTGCCATGCTGCCCAGGCTAGTCTCAAACTCCTGAGCTCAAGTTATCCACCTGCCTCGGCCTCCCAAAGTGTTAGGAATACAGGCATAAGCCACCACGCCTGGTCAAAATATCTACTGTTTAAGCTACCTAATTTATGGTATTCTGTTTTAGCAGCTGAAGCAGACTAAGATACCATCCTATAAGCTACAGACCAGCACTATCCAATAGAACTTTATATGACGAGGAAATGTTTTATATCTGTGCTATCCCTTATGTTAGCCACTAGCCACATGTATCCATCAAGTATTTGAAATATGGCTAGTGCAACTAAAGAACTTAATTTTTAATTTTCTTTTTTTTTTTTGAGATGGAGTCTCGCTCTGTCCCCCAGGCTGGAGTGCAGTGGCGCCATCTCGGCTCACTGCAAACTCTGCCTCCCAGGTTCACGCCATTCTCCTGCCTCAGCCTCCTGAGTAGCTGGGACTGCAGGCGCCCGCCACCACGCCCGGCTAATTTTTTGTATTTTTAATAGAGATGGGGGTTCACCGTCTTAGTAAGGATGGTCTCGATCTCCTGACCTAATGATCTGCCCGCCTCGGCCTCCCAAAGTGCTGGGATTACCGGCGTGAGCCACCACGCCCGGCCAATTTTTATTTTATCTTATTTAAATAACCACATGTGGCTAGTGGCTAATGTATTGAACACTACAGCTGTAGACAATACGAAATAAATATAAAGCAGTCTCCACTTTGGAAAAACAGAAGACTCTTACTGCCTCATAGTATAGATTAAAAAATGAAATACTAAGACAAGTAAAACGTTCTTTAAAGAACAAAAACAAAAGAAAACCTAATGAAAGCTAAAAAAGTCCATTGGATAATAATGCTACCAGTACTAAGGAAGTACAGCCCCTAAAAGTGACTTGCAGTCACAAATATAAAAATGACTATTCAAGTGAACTCCTAAGGTGAAAATTTCTTATTCACCATGCTCCAAAATGGTCTGTAATATTCTTCAGAGATGGCATGGTAAAGTACGATAAAAGGGTAATATTAACAGTATGCTGTCACAGGTGCCATTCTCTTAAAAAAGAAATCCAAAAATAAATATAAATGGAAAGCAAATAATTAATGGAGTTTTGACGGTCAATCAATGGTAAATATTATTGGCATTAGATTTTTCTATTAATTATAGTTTACCTATGATCATGTATTTTTCCATTTAAAAATTACCCTAAAACTTAATGGCTTAAAATAACAAATATGTATGACACAATTTATAGAAGTCAGGGAAATGATGGATTTGGGTAGGTGGTTCTGACTCGAAGTCTCTCATGAGTAAAGGTTGCTGTCATGTTGTTGACCCAGGCAGCATCCCCTGAAGCCTTTAACTTGTGTTGGAAGGTCCGTGTCTTAGTTTGTTTGCACTGTCGCTACAGAATACCATAGACAGGGTAGCTTATAAACAACAGAAACGTTTCTAATGGTACCGGAGGCTGGATGGTGCAAAATCAAGGTGCTTGCAGATTTGGTGTCTGGTCAGAGCCCATTTTTTAGTTCATAGATTACTGTCCTCTAGCTCACATGGCAGAAGGGGCAAGGACGCTTTTTGGGGTCTCTTTTACAAGGGCACTAATCCCCGGCTGGGCACGGTGGCTCACATCTGTAATCCCAGTACTTTGGGAGGCTGAGGCAGGCAGATCACGAGGTCAGGAGTTCCAGACCAGCCTGGCCAGTATGGTGAAACCCCGTCTCTACTAAAAATACAAAAATTAGCCAGGTGTGGTGGTGCGTACCTGTAGTCTCAGCTACTCAGGAGGCTGAGGCAGAAGAAACACTTGAACCCAGGAGGCAGACGCTGCAGTGAGCTGACATGGCACCACTGCACTCCAGCCTGGGTAACAGAGCAAAACTCTGTCTCAAAAAATAAATAAATAAATAAATAAAAATAAAAATAAAAAATAATAATCAAGGCACTAATCCCCAACATGAAGACAGACTATCATCTACCAAAAGCTCCACCTCCTACTATCATTACACTGGGGGTTAGGATTTCACAAATTCAGTGCATCATAGTCTGCTTCTAGAATGTTTAATCATTTGGCTGGATATCAGATAGGATGCCTCGGTTCTTCATGTGAGCTTTCTAGAAAAGATAGTTTGGAATTATTTGCATGGTGGCTGGGCTCGTAAAGAGTTGAAGGAGAGAAAGAGAGAGAAACACCAGTAAGGAGCAAATTAGTTCACTCAAAATTAAAACCCTAGCCTTTGTGACCTTGTCTCAGAAGGTAACATTCCAATCCTGTGGTGTTTTATTTCTTAGATGGGAGTCACTCAGCTTAGCCTGCCTTCAAGGGGAGGAGTATGAAGCTCCACTTCTTAAACTGAGAAGAATCAACAAATATGTAGATATATATATTTTTAATAGTATTACAGCTCATGAACCCATTTAAACCCATTTTAGAACTTTAAAGAAATATTTTAAAACGGAATTTTCAATTAAGCAGAAGAAATTGCCAGCTGTGGAACAGTGAACTTTATCGCTGAAATCACACACACATATATACACACACACAGTGCAAACTCATACATGATCAAATCTATAATCTTATTACACAAAGTTTTGTGAGAGGAAAAATGCTTGACTTTTCAAAAGGGCTCATTTATTAAAAATAAAATGACCATTGTGTTCATTTTAGCTGCAACCTTTAAGCAATCAATGACTATATACTTGCTGTAATCATCCTTTAAAATTAGAATTATTGAAAAGCTTTATCACTGATGAATGAAAGAAAGTAATATTGATTTGTGGCCAAGAGAGATAATCTCAGGCAATAAACAGGTGCAGTCTTTGAAGGAATCATTTTATTTTATTACTTTCTGACATTATTGAAGCCAATTTTAAATAAATTCATCATGTTTTTAAATTTAATCACGTATTATTTTATCATACATTAGGTAAAGTTTCAATCTAAGTAACTCCTGGATAAAAAATGAAGTATATCAATTTACAATTACAAATACCCAAATTGTACAGGCATGCATTTTTCAATGACATTTATAAATTGTGTTTTGTTGTTTGTGCCTTGTGTTTGTTTTATTAATCAAATTAATTTATACAGATATATGTATGGAAATGAGACAGATATAACCAGTTCTCTATAAGTAAGCATTATCTAATGGAGTCTTTCCTTTCACTAATGATCATCAGGACAGCTAGGGAAGTGAGTTGAAATTTTCAGGCCATTAGGTTAATAGTTCTAGTAATTCTAGTAATGTTTCGACAGTCATAATATAAATGATACTATGTGGCTTGAATTAATGCATTTTCTTATGTAACAAATAATAAGACAATTTTTAAAAGTGGTAATTACTATTTTTAAATATGACAATTAAAAATAATGAAAGAAAAGAGGTTGTACATTGAGTAGCCATAACATTATCTTTAAACATATTTATTCTTCATTTCCTAACTTTTCCCACCTTTTGGCTAAATCGTATGTTCTTTCTCTAACCTCACTTCTGTTTTATTACTCTCTGGGAAAGATTTTTATATAAAACGTCTAAGCAATCAAACCTAACACAGGATGAATTTCTACACATTACTATACCCTCTGGTCACTATTTTTTTCTTCTCTTTATTGCCCATTTCCCTGATCTTGAAACATTCCAATTATTTGCCTTCCATGACATTCTACTCTTACTTTTACTTTTCTGTCTCTGATTACTCATTTCCAGTTCCTTTTGTCATCTCCTTGTCTTCCTACACCTGCCAATTAAATTTGAATTTCCTCTGCATTTCATCTTATGTCTCCTTTTCTTCTGCCAAATTCTCTCCTTAGACAAATACAGTCATTCCCATGGTTTTATATCCCACTTATATTCAAGGGCTCTAGAATGTATAGCGCCAGGCCAAATCTATCTTAAGAACTTACTTTACTTAACCAATTACAACTGCATCTGCTCAGGATCATGTAACCCACATCAGCATTTGGCTCTTCTGTAGACCCATTTTTTCTTTTCCTGGAAGTCTATTTTGACACCTACTTTCTGTCACTACCCACGTTTTAGCATTTAGCCTTGTCAATTTACTCTCATCCATATGTAACTCTATCCATTTTCTTCTCTCTATTATGAACAGCAGTTTGAGCCATCATGACCAATTTTGCAGTATCCCTTCTTAAATTAGCCTCCTGTTTCGCATTGGACATTTTCACCCCCCAGCAATTCCACCGATTTCATTCTCGGAAAAATATAAATGAAGAGTTACATTTTTCAATAGCCATAATCATTAAATTTCCATGTGTAAGAAAATGTTCAGAACAGTATCAGTGCATTTATAATAAAATTTTAAAACTTGACCCACAAATCTCTACTTGTCCTTCTAGTTTTATTTCATTTGTCTCTCGTCAATCTCTACATTCTGATCACCACAATCTTTTAATTCATCTGAAAGCTAAGCTCTCTCTTAATTTACATTCTCTATACTTGCAATTTTGTCTACCTAGAAGTGTCTTCTTCCATCTTTGGATTGTTATTGCAAATCCATTGAATAGTTCTCATCTGAATTGTTTCTTCCTTGGGATGACTTATAAACACTTCATCCTACAGCCAAATCAGAAGACCAATATCAAAATCTTTCATCACATCCTAAATTTGCTTATATGTAATTATATGGCAAGAATCTCTTTGTCTTTATAATCATGATTCACTTATCTATGTTTTTTAAAAACTCTTCTAGGTGGTGATGCTAAGCTCCGTAATGTTGGGCTTGTTACCTGTCTCAACTATCTTCCACACCTACCACAGTACCTGCTACATAGATGTATTCAATATATATTTTTAGAATTAGTAAATGATGAGCAAGCGTGTACTTTTGTTCTCTTTCATTACAGTGTTAGAAATGCTATTACAGCATTAGAAAAGATAATCAGAAAGAAAATTTAATAGATCATCAGAAAAAAATCCCAAGACTTTTAGGCAAATGAGCCTACAAACACAGGTGGAATGGACTTGCAATTTACCAAGAAATAGGTTTGTCATACTTAGAAACCAACTGTATAAACATGTTTTTATCTATTAATAACTCCATTTTCCAAAACGCTCTACTTTATATGAGACAATTCTTGATGGAAATACCATTTGCTTCTAGGCTCGTTGCTTAAACATAAAGTTAAAAATCTTTGTATGACACATAAAATTGTGGTGACTGCTTAACTTTGCAACTATAGCGCTCCTGAAATGCTCATTTAACCAGTCTGTGTTCCAGACCTACAGAACTTAGATGGTGCTAACATTGCGCAAAAATTGTGTATTTCTTCTACAACTAACTTCTGATAAAAAGGGGGCAGAGAAGGTTAACTCTCTCCCCCTTTAGCTTTATTTGCTTAGTGAATTTCTACAAAACATAATTTAAGTGCTATATTTTTCCAAGGTTTTAATAAGGAAATAAAAACCGCAATAGGTATCTTAAGCAGAAAGTGCATTTCATACATATACAATAGGAAGGGCTAAAATAACTAAAGTAGCTGTGGCATGGAGGAAGGTTTTGAGTTCTTGAATTCAAAGGCACGCAATCATTTCTGCAATCCTGGGTCAAAAAGATGCTCCTGCTATTAAAACTTTAAGCCTCTTATGCCCATGAAACTGGGGATTAGGCACAAGGATATTGAATCCTACCACTTCCACTACTTCTGAACTATTGTCCCCATGATTTCACTTGCCAGAATCAACAATAGCAAGACAGGCTTTGATCTCTTCCATTTTTCTAAGTCTGATTCATATGCAAACAATCGGTAAGTGGTCTAAGCTGCATTCATAAAGCTAGCTCAAGGGAAGCTGCATTGCTTGTTTTGTTTTAATTTTCTAACCTCTTCAAAGAGTGGAACGAAAGTTGAGGAAACCTGTCCAACAGTCTACCACACACCTTCCATGAAAGGTTCCCCAACACCTCCAACAAAATAATGTAAACACATGCTGGAACCTATATTACTCTCGCACCATAACACTTCCCACACTTCCCACAATACTTTTTCTCTTCATGGGAATATCCTTCCAAAACATGCTGATATCTCCTAAGCATTATTCATCTGTCGAATTTTCCCACCTATTGTAAGGTCTTCCAATTGTTAGGTTCTTAATAAATATATTTTAAATTATTAAAATTCTGAACTAATGGGTAATCAACTGTACAACCCGAATTGCTGATTTGCATACAGCTGAAGTCCCTCCTCAAAACTTCTGTAATACATGAAACTTAGGCAAATGGTTGGGTCATTACCATATATTACTTTATATTTTTATTTATCAGTATATGTGATTACAGTTATGCTTATGTTAATTGATATGTATATGTTAACTTTTATACATATGTACATTGTATTATTTTGTTACATAGCACAGCATTTTGTACTCAAAAAGTGACCAATAATAATAAGCTACATACTTTGGGAAGCATTGCAGGCTAGTCGTACAGTTTTGTTTTGTTTTTTTCCCTGCAGCCTGACAACCTTTTCAGTCATTCACTAAACCTCTCTCAGCTTCAGTTTCTTCATCTGCAACATATAGCAAATAATAAAACTTAACTCAGATGGTTCTAGTGTGAAATAATACAGAGTAAATGTGCCACCAAATACAAACCAATGGCTTGATTGACATAACTCACTGCTAATTTTCTTGAAATGATTCAAAGTATTTTCCAGACAAGCACACACTGAGGGAATTCGTCACCACCAAACGAGTCCTATGAGAAATACTCAAAGGTGTCCCAAACACAAAAATGAAAGGTCAACATTCATCATCATCATCAAAACACATGAAAGTAGCAAACTCATAGGTCTTGTAAAACAGTCACACAAAGTAGGACGAGCAATCAAATAGCAACACAACAGATTTCCACCAAACCACAAAGACAAAGAGACACACAGAAAGAAAAACAAAAAACAACAACAAAATAACCCCAAGGAACTTATAAAACAAGTAGAAAACAAACAGCAATATGGCAGAAAGAAAACCTCATGTATTAACATTAACCTTGAATGTAAATGAATTAAACATTCCACTTAAAATATATAGATTGATAGATATTGGGCCAGGTGCAGTTGCTCACACCTGTAATCCCAGCACTTTGGGAGGCCGAGGTGGGTGGATCACGAGGTCAGGAGTTCGAGGCCAGGCTGGCCAACATAGTGAAACCCTATCTCCATTAAAAATACAAAAATTAGCCAGGCGTGGTGGCCGGCACCTGTAATCCCATCTACTTGGGAGGCTGAAGCAGGAGAATCGCTTGAACCTGCAAGACGGAGTTTGCAGTGAGCCAAGATTGCGCCACTGCACTCCACTCTGGATGACAGAGTGAAACTCCATCTAAAAGTAAAAAAAAAAAAAAAAAGAAAGGTAGATTGATGGAACGAACTAAAAAATGATCCAAAAATATTATGCTTACAAGAAACATATAGACACATACAGACTGAAAAGTAAAGACACATACAGATTTAAAGTAAATGGGTGAAAAAAGATACTCCATGTAACGGAGACTAAAAGCAAGCAGGAATAGCTATACTTATATCAAGTAAAACAGAACTTAAATCTAAAACAGTATAACAATGACAAAGGAAGTCATTACATAATGATAAAGGGATCAATTCAGCAAGAGGATATAACAATTCTAAACACATATGCATCCAACACTAGACCACCAAGATTCATCAAATAAATATTACTAGACATAAAAAAGGAATAGACAGCAATACGATAATACTGGGGGACTTTACCATCTCACTCACAGCATTAAATGTTATCATCAAGACAGAAAACAAATAAACCTAAGACTTAAATTCAACCTTAGATGAAATAGACCTAACTGACATTTACAGAAAATACTACCCAGCAACTACAGAATATACATTCTTAATAAAACCGCAATTTCACCCAACAATCCCACTACTGGAGATCTACCCAAAGGAGAACAGATAATTGTATGAAAAAGGTATCTGCACCCATATGTTTATCACAGCACTATTCACAATAGCAATGTGTCCCTCAGTGGATGATTACATTAATAAATCTGGCATATATGCGCTATAGAATACTATTCAGCTATACAAAAGAATAAAATCATGTCTTTTGTAACAACATGGATGTAACTGGTCATTATTTTAAGTGAAACAAATCAGACACAGAAAGACAAATACTGCATGTTCTCACTTATAACTGGAAGCTAAATAATGTATACACATGGACATAGAATGTGGAATGATAGACAACAGAGACTTGGAAATTTCAGGAGGGTGGGAGGAGGGGATGATGAGAAATTATGTAATGAGTACAATGTACATTTTTCAGGTGATGTATATTCTAAAACCCTTACTTCAACACTACGTACTTTATGGAGGTAATAAGATTATATTTGTATCCCACAAATTTACGTAAATAAAAAATTGCCTTCTGTACTTACTTTAGCCCAGTTATTGTTAGGTTCAACATTCAGCACTTTACTTAAATTTTCTATAGCTTTCTGGACCTTTTTTTGATATTTATATATAGTAGTGTGGCACAGAAGTGCTAATATTTACCAAAATAAAAGTTATATTTTTAATTAAAAATTAATTAAAAGGTTGTAGAATCTCAGGATGGAATGCAGACTGTTACAAATTTATCTAGCTCTATTATGAACCATACAAAATAACTTCAGTGAGGGACTTAAGGGAAAGGGTGCTAGTCAAAGTGATATTGAAAATGAGTGCAGTCTCTTAAGATGAAAGGCAAAAGAAACTTGTACGAAGGCATTTAATTTAGTTGATAAAGATGTTCTTCTACTAAGGGCAGGTTATCAATTCTGGTACAGCTATATACATATACTGGAAGTGAACAATTAACTAAATAGATGTCACAAAATAAGAGTCAGGATTTTTATTGTTGGAGTGGGGGTTTAGAGATACAGGAAGGCATTGATGCTTGCGGGACTAGGTTAGAGGTAGTGACATCAGTAAGAACCCATGTTTAGCTTAATATAGACATAGATGGTGATATGGTTTACATTTTGTCCCCTCTCAAACCTCTCGTCCAATTGTAATCGCCAGTGTTGAAGGAGGGGTCTAGTGGGAGGGGATTGGATTATGGGGGCAGATTTCCTCCTTGCTGTTCTTGTGATAATGACTTAGTTCTCACACAATCTGGTTGTTTAAAAGTGTGTAGCATCTCCCCCTTAGTTCTCTTCCTCCTTCTCCAGCCATGTAAGATGTGCCTGCTTCCTCTTTGCCTTCTGCTATGACTGTACGTTTTCTGAGGCTTCCCCATCCTTGCTTCCTGTACAGCCTGTGCAACTGTGAGGCAATTAAAGCTCTTTTCTTTATAAATTACCTAGGATCAGGTAGTTCTTTATAACAATGGGATAATGGACTAATATAGATGTTTACATATAGAAATATTTAAAGATATGTGTCTACATATGTGTAAGAATATACACATTGTTTCTTTGCTCTCTCATCTTAGAGAGCTATGAAAAAATTGATATTCCCTTAGCTACAGGCACAGCTAGCACTTAAATATTGATTTCATATATAGAAAGCAGGGCGTCTTTGAAAGTGGCTGATTCTAAGAATGGGGAAGAAAATACACAAGATGAGCCTGGGACATCCTCTAGTGCCAGAAATTATGAAAATACTAACAAAAATCTATTTGTGAGATATGTCAAACAAGCACAGGGGCCAAGTGAAAGGTCTTTCAATTTCTAGAATAATTTTAGCAACACAATACATTAATTGGTATTATATTTGGATTATACCCAAAAATGTAATTTTCCTTAGTCCATATTGATATCAATAAATGACTGAATAAACAAATGAATGAGATAAAAGAGGTAAATCTCCTCTGCAAATAATTTACATATGTATTCCAACTAAAGGAAGTCAGCTCTTAAAGACATCTTAAGCAATACTGCAACTGAATTAGCTTTCCAAAGATACTGTCACAATTCATCTATTCCAAGACCTATACATTTCATATTTTAATATCTCCTGAAAATATAATGCATTTTACAATTCAGTGGTATGTCTTAGTTTAATTAGCCACAATGCGAATTACTTGCTTAACGGGACATAAAATAGTGCATTATACAATCTATGGGCTCTTGGACTCAAGAAAATACGATAGAAAGGAGTTTATGTTAGAGTCTGCGCACTGACTAAAGATCAGAGCAGAAAGCAGATTCTAGGAACAGTCACATTTGTGGCAGTCACTGGTCTCGGCATGCAACAAAATTCAAAGTAAATAGTGGTAAGGTGGGAAATGGACAAAGCTATGTAGCTAGAATCAGAAGTCCTTGAAATCAAAACATCAAGATTCAAACTATTTAGGGGCAGTGGGGCTGACGTGGTGACCGTGGGCCTGATCAGATAAAACCTTTACAAAGAAACAGTAGCTCTCAGACTCACCTCCTGAGACAGAGTTGTTCTGAGGGGAAAATGGGTAAGTTTCCACAGTAACATACAGTACTTAAACATACAGTAAGATACAGTACTTAAAGCCCTGACCTGTCCAGTTCCCAACACATCTTTCTTGATGGGCACCTAAATGTCACCTTTTGGTTTTATTTTTGTGTTTTTCTCATCTAAGCTCGGAGAGCAAAGCCTGACAGGGTGAGCCCCCAAAGTGTGTTCATGTCTTAAGAGTGTCCAGAAGCCACCTAGGGAGTGTGCAAGTTTTTCATTTTCATGCCAGGGACAATGTCTCTCTTTATTGAGCTAATGGCAAGGTATGGGCCTCAGAATATGTACAGTTTGAACATATTTGCATCTTCCCTTTAATTAACTGTGAAATCTGTGAGGCTAATGAGAAGAAAATTGATGGGTAGTCGGTGGAAGAATTTTTTTTTCATTGTCATATCTTCAACTTTCCTGGGGTATAATAAGAGATGCACAGTCAATTCAGTATACTTGAAATGTGTGATGTGGTCAAATTTGAGATAGATATATATATATATGTATATACTTTTGGAAATATCACTACATTCACAACCATCATTATGAAAAGTTTTCTTGTGCACCTCAGTAATCAGTCTCTCCCTCCATGCTGTCTCCAGGCAGCCATTTGATTTTCCATCAGGTAACATGAGTGAGAAGAAAATGTCTGTTGCAAGCTATTGAAATTTTGTGGTTGTTCACTTTTTAGAAACTCTTTGGAATTTTCTTTCTCATATCTTTATTAACATATAAAGTGTCTGTCTGGCATACTTTCAGATAATGTAAATAATATACTCAGCAATTGTTTTGTGCTGGGCTTCCATTTAATCTTTCAAGATCATATGGATTTTTATAGCTTTATATGTTGTGTTTGGCATCTTAAGCTCACTATCTACCTACTGACTCTTAAATCCCAAACTCTAAAGAGGTTCTGAAGATTCCAAAGATGCTATTCACATCCGGTAAGTTTAGGGCAGGAAAACTGGTAAACCTCCTATAACATGAGGCTAGAGCCCACAACAAAATTATCAGGTCCAAAAATGTCAATAGTATTGAAGGTGAGACAATTTCTAGGGAGATATTACACCTTGATATTCTCATTTAATATGCTGGTAATGTAATCCAGCATTTTTCCAAAAATGAGAATAGCCTGGTGGCCTTAAATGTCATTGTTTTACTCTTACTTACATTGGACTAAAGAATGAGTTCAAATGCAGCTGAATAATTTGGATATTTAAAGCAATAACATTTTTCACTAACGCGCATAGGCTTAATGCCTGGGTGACAAAATAATCTGTATACCTATTTACCTATAGGTTTACCTATATAACAAACCTGCACATATACCCCTGAACTGAAAATAAAAGTTAATAAATAAAGTAATTACATTTGTTTAGAAATAAAATAAATTTAGAAATGGAAAATATTGTTGAAAATATTCTAAGAATTTTAAATTTATACATTAAAATAAAAATAATCTGAATATTATTACCAACAGAAAATCTTTGTCTTGATCTCAAATTCCAAGTAGAATACCTTTAGACTATCTCTAGCAATAGCTAACAGAATAAGATTTACAAATCTTGATAGATCATTTTTCATGCCTGTGTCATTTTAAAATGAATTGATGGCTGTTAAAACTTAATTTAATTTGAGTCTCTTCCGGATCATATACATAGTTTTACAGACAGCCATGTTCAATGAAATTATAATATGTAACACAAGAAATATGCCAGATGTAAAGTAAGAATCTCTTTTAAACGCTCTGATATTCAAAAATCTTTATCAGATTTCCTAAACTAACGATTTTAAACAAAACCTTTTAGTTAAGAAAGCATTGGTCTCAATAGTAAATCTGCCAATATGAATTGCTGCATTTTATTTTTGAACTTTCTAAAGGCCATCTGCCAGAGTAATTAGATATAAAATCCTGCATGCAATCTAATATTAGATGAAAAGTTTAAACTACCAATGATACAATATTGATGCACAGAGGAATGAATTGATTTTTTATGTTATTCTCAAATTGAAAGTCAATCTTTTTATAAAATAAATTTATAAATAAATCCAAATATGATATTTTAGCTCACTTTTGACAGTAGGTTTTCAGTTTCTGATGTTAACAATGGCATAATTATGATTTGCTGAATGACTTTAAAGTGATCGGATAAGGAAACAATTAGGGTTTGCAGTAGCTGGAGAAAGAAAAAAAAGAAATATTTAGATATTGCATACTCAATATGGCACATACTACGTCACAGGCTTTAATATCAGTTGACTACTCTCTTTAGAAGGAGTACGGTTTGACCTAGACCAGTTTATTTATTCATTTTTGTAATAATTTTTCCTCATTCTCTTTGACACATTGGTTAACCTAAAATTACTGTGTTGCTTAGGACATTGACTAAAAATCGTAGTCTTTCAGTTTGTGGCTGCTCACAGGATTTTTTTTTTTTTTTTGCTTTGGCTTACTAAATAATCTTTTATTGGAGTTAAAACAACAAAGCTAGTAAAGATATATAAATCAATGCCAAAAAAAAGGAGACAGGCCTACTTATATGCCATTATCTTCTGTTATTGCCGTTGGATAGAAGACAGACATTATCATTTTTAATCAATTGTATACTTCATAAATATGATACAACAGATATTTTTACTTCCAAGATTATACATAGAGTTTTTATGATTCCTTTGTGAGTGTGAACTATATAGCTGTCCCTAAAACATAATTGAGAACAGAAAGGTTTTATTTTTAATTATATAATTTTCTTGCCCAAGTTATATGGATTCATAGGTTACAGAATGTATAACAATATACATTTTTTGCATTTTTAAATTTACTGTATAATTTATTTCTGAAACCAAATTTGATATACAACTATGTAAACCATTAAATATGATCTGGATTAAAATAATCTTAACAGACAAATCCAAAAACACTGCATTTTATTATTTCTATTTCTAATGTTACCTCCAGGTTTAGACTCCCCTAAGTAATTGACTCTACCTATTATGTTTGTGTTTTGAAACATCACTCTATATTGTAACAAAAAGAAAAATGACACAATTAGTTTCCTATATGTACACAAAAATTTTCAGTTTTAAATAAGGAAATATAGTTTTGAAATTTAAAAAAGTAAATGTTATAATATTTTCTCAAATAATTTACTACTCATATTCCCATTGCTTAGTTTCATTAATTTTTACACTCACATTTTACATATCCAAGATATATTTCCAGCTTTATTTTCAGAATGAACTGCTAGGATCTTAGATGAGTTTATTATTTTGCACGAGGTGCCACTGCTTGACACCTGATTGTGTGTATACCCCCCCCTTTTTTTTTTATATACTTTTAAGTTTTAGGGTACATGTGCACAATGTGCAGGTTAGTTACATATGTATACATGTGCCATGCTGGTGTGCTGCACCCACTAACTCGTCATCTAGCATTAGGTATATCTCCGAGTGCTATCCCTCCCCCCTCCCCCCACCCCATAACAGTCCCCAGAGTGTGATGTTCCCCTTCCTGTGTCCATGTGTTCTCATTGTTCAATTCCCACCTATGAGTGAGAACATCCGGTGTTTGGTTTTTTGTCCTTGCGATAGTTTACTGAGAATGATGATTTCCAATTTCATCCATGTCCCTATAAAGGACATGAACTCATCATTTTTTATGGCTGCATAGTATTGCATGGTGTATATGTGCCACATTTTCTTAATCCAGTCTATCACTGTTGGACATTTGGATTGGTTCCAAGTCTTTGCTGCCCAAGGTAATTTATAGATCCAATGCCATCCCCATCAAGCTACCAATGACTTTCTTCACAGAATTGGAAATAACTACTTTAAAGTTCGTATGGAACCAAAAAAGAGCCCGCATTGCCAAGTCAATCCTAAGCCAAAAGAACAAAGCTGGAGGCATCACGCTACCTGACTTCAAACTATACTACAAGGCTACAGTAACCAAAACAGCACGGTACTGGTACCAAAACAGAGATATAGATCAATGGAACAGAACAGAGCCCTCAGAAATAACGCCGCATATCTACAACTATCTCATCTTTGACAAACCTGAGAAAAATAAGCAATGGGGAAAGGATTCCCTATTTAATAAATGGTGCTGGGAAAACTGGCTAGCCATATGGAGAAAGCTGAAACTGGATCCCTTCCTTACACCTTATACAAAAATTAATTCAAGATGGATTAAAGACTTAAACGTTAGACCTAAAACCATAAAAACCCTAGAAGAAAACCTACGCATTACCATTCAGGACACAGGCGTGGGCAAGGACTTCATGTCTAAAACACCAAAAGCAATGGCAACAAAAGCCAAAATTGACAAATGGGATCTAATTAAACTAAAGAGCTTCTGCACAGCAAAAGAAACTACCATCACAGTGAACAGGCAACCTACAGAATGGGAGAAAATTTTCGCAACCTACTCATCTGACAAAGGGCTAATATCCAGAATCTACAATGAACTCAAACAAATTTACAAGAAAAAAACAAACAACCCCATCAAAAAGTGGGCGAAGGACATGAACAGACACTTCGCAAAAGAAGACATTTATGCAGCCAAAAAACACATGAAAAAATGCTCACCATCACTGGCCATCAGAGAAATGCAAATCAAAACCACGATGAGATACCATCTCACACCAGTTAGAATGGCAATCATTAAAAAGCCAGGAAACAACAGGTGCTGGAGAGGATGTGGAGAAATAGGAACACTTTTATACTGTTGGTGGGACGGTAAACTAGTTCAACCATTGTCGAAGTCAGTGTGGCGATTCCTCAGGGATCTAGAACTAGAAATACCATTTGACCCAGCCATCCCATTACTGGGTATATACCCAAAGGATTATAAATCATGCTGCTATAAAGACACATGCACACGTATGTTTATTGCGGCACTATTCACAATACCCCATTCTTTAGACTTTTAAAATCAATACCCACTCTTCCCCACGAACAAGAGAAAGTAAAAACAACTAACAGTGGATTTCTGTATCACGATGACTCATTTTCAATAGAACACTACCATAGGTCAAATGGATGAATGCATAAATAATGAATGGATTAATATCTTTTACATAATCATGTGCCACATAACAACGTTTACATCAATAAGAGACAGCATGTAAAACAATGGCTCATTAAGATTATAATAGGGTTGAAAAATTGCTATCACCATTATAGATTGATCACTCTATGAAGTTTGCACAGTAAGATAATCACCTAGCCACACACTTCTCAGAACATATCCTCATTGCTAAGTGACACAAGGCTGTATTTCATTTAATGATTGCGTAAATAGTTGTTGAGAAAAATCTGCACTCTAAGTACCAGGATAAAAGAGATTAATAATAAATTAATGATTAAATGCACCATGATCAATCTTATCATTGAGGTCTATATGCTACATTTGGATTACATCGTAAAGGCAGAGGTTAATCATCGCAACTTACACAACAGGATACAGAGTGGATCAGCAGATAATTACATAATAGAATACAGTTTGAAACCTGCAAGATGCATTAGAATTAATTAGAATCAAACCATATGTGTGACTTTGGTTTAAATGTGCAAAACCTATTAATATAGATATAGCCAGGACATTTCTATTGTGTGTGTGTATATATATATATATATATATATATAGTGTGTGTATATATATATACACACACACACATATACATGTATATATACATACATACATATATATATTTTATATATATATATATATATATATATATATATTTTGTGTGTGTGTGTGTGTGTGTGTGATGGAGTTTCGCTCTTGCTGCCCAGGCTGGAGTGCAATGGCATGGTTTCAGCTCACTGCAACCTCCGCTTCCAAGGTTCAAGCAATTCTCCTGCCTCAGCCTCCCAAGTGGCTGGAATTACAGGGGCCAACCACCACACCAGGCATATCTTTGTATTTTTAGTAGAAACTGCTTTCACCATGTTGGCCAGGCTGGTCTCGAACTCCTGACCTCAAGTGATCTACCCCCTCGGCCTCCCAAAGTGCTGGGATTACAGGTGTGACTCACTGTACCCAGTTTGTCTTTATAAATCTTATAGAAATATTTAACTTTTAAAATCAACCACACACAATTAAGACTTTGATAAAAGTAATTAAGAAGTAAAGCAATGGAAAAAGCAATT
The DNA here is from genome assembly GCF_000001405.40 of Homo sapiens. Lineage (NCBI taxonomy): Eukaryota > Metazoa > Chordata > Mammalia > Primates > Hominidae > Homo > Homo sapiens. The sequence continues at coordinate 1,040,728 of NW_025791777.1, forward strand.
TTTAAAAACATATATGAATGATTGAAAGCCAGGAGTAAAATTAAGAATTGTATTAAAATATCACTATTAAAATTAGCTACATAAATATTTAATTAATGCAGCTAAATTGTTAACAAAATTTACAGAAGAAAAGTATGTTAACATTACTGAATCATCTTAAAATCTTATTAAAATTTAAAGTTCTTCTCAACTGAAATTATATCACAGAAAAAAATAATGTCACCTTAAAAAGTTTAGGATTAGAAATACATAATTATTTTTAAATATAGTCTTTATATATTAATTATATTTCATTAATGTCTTATTTCTTGAATAAACTTTTTTCATGATACTATTTAAGTGCCACATTCTACAATAATATGGAAAACAATTCTACAAAATGTGGCATACAGTAATTGATAGGTAGTATAGCACACCTTTTATCTCTTTATAGCAAAAACATAATGTGTAAATTAATATAACACTAAGTCCCATATTGTCATTTTTTGTCAAAGAGCTATCTCCTTGAAAACCATCATCCTCAGATGCATCTCTAACTTCAAAAAGACCTTAGAAACTGTAACAATTGTAAATGCGTTATAACTTAAAGAGATATTATCTTCACATTAGAGGCTAACAGGCTTATACCTACTGATAGCTGACAAGTATTATAGGAATCCTGGCAGGCAAATTGTTGCATAAAAATTATGTAATTTACTAACTGTAAAATAACCTTTAGAGTTTAGAATCAGTCAGATAAGTAGAACAGACAATTGTTATCAAAGCCATATAAATGGCTATTAAAATTATTTTTTGCTACCCTCATTTTATCTCTGAAGAGACATCTTGTTAAAAAATGAATAACAGACACATATAAATACCTAATTACAAGCAGAGTTAAGATTAAAATTCAGCCTCATTAGGGGTGGGATAGAAATCAGTACACTAAAGAATATTTTGGTGCAGGTAGTTTGTTTCAAATGATTCAACCTTCAACATTACTTCACTTAAATTTTAGCAAACTTTCTGCTATAATTTAAGCATACAGACCTATGACACTAGACATATGTCCTGTGTAAGCCTGGGCTAGGGGAGCTCTATTTAATACTTACATAAACCCCAAAGATGTCCTAAGAAATAAAATTTGGAAAAACTTTGATGTGCTACAGCACGGATTTTCTCCTACAGCAACAGAGCAGACACTTGAATGTAGTTATACTCCTGCTTTCCACCTCCCTGTCAAAACAATAAAAAAGGCCACAGGCCTGTGGTTCTGGCCTCCAGGGAACTGGTGGCTTCTTTAACCCACACTGCTGCTGCTGAATCCCATTTAGGTTTAGGGTTTATTTTGTATATGCCTTTGTACAGGCTAAATGCTGGTCTAGTTGAAAATCAACCTAAAACAACCTTAATAGCATCTCATTTTATTGTGACTTTACTTTTTGTGTTGTTTGGTGTTTTACTTTTGGAGACAGAGTCTTAATCTGTCACCAAGGCTGGAGTGCAGTGGCATGATTATGGCTCAACCTCCAGGCTCAAGTGACCCTCCCACTTCAGCCACCTGAGTAGCTGATACCACAGGAACATGCCACCACATAAGGCTAACTTAAAGAACATTTTTTTAGATGGGATCTCACTATGTTGCCCAGGCTGATCTTGAGCTCTTTGCCCCAAGCAATCCTCCCACCTTGGCCTCCCAAAGTGCAGGGATTATAGGTGTGAGCCACTATGCCAGGCCTCTCTCATGACTTTAAACTTGAACATGCTTTTGTGCTGTGGCCGAGTTTAGGATCCCAACCAGCCTGTGATTACTGTGGTCACCACACAGATTCCCTCTTGTTCCATCTTTTATATTCCATCTTCTCACTCTCATAACTGTGTGGATAGGAAAACAATTATCCATACAGGTATGATATTGGCAGAGAAAATCACAAAATGTTTTAATGAGCAAACACTTTGGGGATGGTAATAATCTTTCTACCACCTTCATTGTCTTGTTTAAGTATCTCTACATTCTTCTTTAAAAATTAGGAATATATCTTTCTTGCTCTTTCGTTGTTGTTGAACACCAGAAGGGGATATTCCTTAATTCTCTCTCCATAGCTAAGGACAGTACAGCACAATATTCCATTCAGCAGGTGAAGTCAGTATGAATGAATGCATTTCAATCAGCAAATTGCTGGTTGTGTTGCAACTCCTAGTTATGATGTTTTGTGTACTTTGAAGGGCTCCCATTAATTAAGGTATTTCTTATAAGCATTCAGAAAGTTTCTTTTCTTGGCATGCGACTTGAAAATTTGTCCTGATATTTTCCCTGTGACAATGTTTTGTGAATTGTAACTCAGCCACTTAAGTGGCTCCTCATAATAAAGCCACATGGTATCCATGTACACATATTTAACAAATCAAAGAAGTGGTTCTCAACCTAATCTCTAGAGGAGGTCCTTCTTGTTCACTTTCAATAACTATGTTGAAGAATAGATTCTAAAAAGCTATCACCAAATTTTCGAATATGTTTTGAAATTTGTGTCCACAAAATCTATAAATCAATAAATGTATAGAATAGAGCATAATAATCCAATTAACAAATTTAAGATGTCATCTAAGCAGGAATGAATGCAATAAATAGGCCTTCTTACTTCAAAATCAACTGCAGAGGCAATGCATTGCCACTAGACTTGTGTGCTGTGTTGGTAATAAATTAACAAAAACTTTGGGGATAAGAAAAATCTGCAAATAAAATGGTGTGTCATTTGTGAAATATAATCACAAAAATGTTCAGATTGTTATAATTAACAGAAAAACTATTGTTTTTATTATATCCAGTGTTTAACAGACACTATTCATGTATACATACAACATTCTTATAATAACTCTTGTGTCCATGTAAATAGCAGTCTTGCCAAAAAGAATTGATTATCATGTAGTAGTTTGTAAGTATTTTCATGCATAGGCTGCAACCCTTTAGAGTGCTATTCTAATAAATTATTAATATTAACTTGATGAACACAATTCTAAGACATTTCATTTGAGGATATGTTTATTAACTATTAGGTTGGTACAAAAGGCATTGCGTTTTTTGCCATTACTTTCAATAAAAAATAGAACCAGCATTTAGAAATCTACTTTCAGAAACTTAATAAAATGAGAATTTGTCCTCTTTTACATATAGGAAGCCTGCATAATAAGCATTCTGTTGCTAGTACATAAGCTTCCCATTTTCATCAGGAAACTATACACTTACATTTCACTTTTACTAACTTCAATGCATGACTTCTATCTTCAAGGTGATTTCATGCTTCTAGCCACCATGTCTGTACTCCAGGACAGCAGCACAAAGTGTAGAAAAATAAAAAAGACATACCTCCCTAATGAGTCAACTGCACTTAAGGAGCCATCCCAGAAGTTTCACACGGCTTATTTGAATACAGCTATATCCAGATGCAAGGAATGCTGGGAAATGTGGTATTGTGCGCAGCTAAAGTTGGGATTATGTTAGTGAAAATGAGACCACGAACATTGGAAGGTTAAAAGCAATCTCTCATGACATATACAATTACAGAAATTAAATTAAATCTTTAAGCAATGTGATAAACCTATGGAATGTTAACAGGCAAAAATAGCAACATTAAAAATTACAGTGAGGGAATAAGGTATGATTCGTTTGTAGATGGTTTGTGTGTCATTAATCTAGGCAAAAAGTCATAAACTCCTCTAACAGTGACCACATGTATAAAAGAAATAATAATACACACTATGGCTAACAACATTCCATTTTGGCCTATTTACTGTTGTTAAGTCTCTATGGTTAGCATCAGAAATGTACAGTTTTGATAGCCTATGACCTCAACATGTTCAGTTTGATAGTAGAAAGGACAACATAAAGACAAACCAATCAACAAATAAGAATAAAAACTGTTAAAAAAAGGACAATATTATCATAAGAACATAAGGATGTGATAATGTATTTGACATATCGTTTATTTATTGTTTTATAGTTGGATAATACATATAAATTTACTGCTCCTTCAATGTTAGAATCAATAGAATCATAGCAGAAGTAATTAAGCAGATAAAGATCAAAACGTCACCTTTATTACTTACTGTTTGAAAAATAGTCTAAGGCTGGTTTTACAGGGTTGCTCCTATCCATCACCTGATGTGAAGTTTCTTAGGAAGCTTCAGGACTACACCAAAGAAGCAGAACCTGCTCTTTCACTCTGTTGCATTGTGTGGAGTGCAGGCCATCATGACTGCTCTCTACAAGAAAAAGAAAGGAAATAATTAAGAAACGCACAAAAGTTTGTGAATTGAGAATCCCAAAATAGGTATGAAATTGGTTAGCTTTCTAAATTCACCAATCTCATAACTAACACCTGTCCCCATGCAGTGAATGAGTAAAGGATGGACAGACTCCATAATGATTATTCTAGGGAAAGCCTTCTGAGTAGAAAGAGGAGAGTTTTGCAAACAGTTTTGTAGAGTTTACTCTTGTTTATGCACTGATAATAAATAAGAGTTCCTAAAATTCTCTCTAGAACTCTAGGTAAATGAGATATTTCACTGCTCATGCTGTGTGACCTTCATGTCCCATCTGCCTAGACTGTAAATATGCTTTCTGAAGTTTAAAAGAATTAGTATACTATGCTTACATTAAGCAAAAAAGTACCCTTATTGTGCAGGATCAAGTAACACTCTAAAGATTCATGTTTATGAAAAAACACTGATGATTCTATTTTATTATGTGTCTTCTAAAGAGAAAAATACTTGTGCTCTGCAGCATAATTTTACAATGTGCTATTCTAAATACTTTCATTTAAACAAGACCATTATGAAAATGTTTTGCACACAGAAATATATTTTGAATACTTTTTTAAAAAGATCACAAAGTATATGGTCTCTGTACGTGTTCAATTATTTTAATGCTTTCACTATAACAGGAATTCTTAAAGAGGATATGTACTTGCATAATGCTGATAATTCTTTCTCATTTCTGTTTGTGCTTTGGCTGTTGTTACAACCACTGAAAGTAGTAATTACATGAGTGTATTATCCATGATTATCTTTAGATATATGTGCATTTTCTTTAATTAAACTATAAACTCTAAATGAAAAATAAAAAAGAAGTCACCTCTTGTCTCTTTGTACAATATTAAAATTTTTTTCTTGTATCCAGAGTTTCCCAAATGCCTGTTGCAAAATTTTACTTAGGGAGTAGAAAGTGGAGAATCAATATGGTAAAAAAAACTGTGTTACAGGGAAGGAGACACAGGGTAAGCATTTTCCTTATCTTCTCTCCTGTATCTACGTGCTGCACAAGCATAAATGATAGCAGTCACATGAACGAGTACTTTTCAAGAACGTAGAATATGGTGATGGAAAAAAAAAACCGCTTTGAAACATCGAATAATATAAAAGCCAGAACTACTACAACTATTTTTTACATCCATAGAAGGTAAACTATTTTTAGATATAAAATTCCTTCTGACGGTAGTCCTGATCATTTAACCAATATTTTGATAAATCAAAGAAGGGAAAAATGGACATTCAGTCCAAAGATGGGCATGTATTCCCATGCCCAGTCAGGCAAAACTTGTGGATGTTCTTTAAAATAACAATTCATTCAACAAATAATTTTTAAATGGCTACTGAATACCTGGAAAGGTTCTAGACACAGGGGCTATAGTAAGAAACAAGAAGGAACTAATTGACAAGAATGTGCTCACCGACAATGAAACATCTCCTCATGGAGCTTGAGTTCTGTTTGAAAAGACAGAGAACAAAAAAATATTATTGCACAGAGTGTTAGTTATGTGTGAATTAAAAGACTGGTCAGTACTTGAAGGAGAAGGAGTGACAACAAATCTCACTTCCAGTTCTATTTACCTGAACAGATTAATTCTATTTTGTTTCAATGCAACAGTAGTCCTACGGTTAACAAGATGCACTACACAAAGCAAACAACTTATAAAACGCATTTTTTCCTTATATTGCAAATCAATTTTAAGTGGATCTACAAATATACAATAAATAATATAAATTACGGATCGTTTGTTTCTAAGGTAATAAGTACATTTGTTAATTTCACATAAATAATTTCAGAAGGAGAGCAAATGTAAAAATGTGTTTTAGACAGTGGAGATGCCATTTTATTGTAAGACTATTTATACTCAAAGGACAAAGTAATCAGCTTTCTATGTCAATGATCGTCCTTCTCTATTTCACCCAGTTCCAGACAAACCCAAGTCTTCCAAGTCTCTTCATATATCTGATCCAATAAAATCTATAATGAGTTCAGTTAGCATACACACACACACACACACACCACACACACACAAGCACACAAACACACACACATGACTGCATTGAAATACTTGCTCTAGGGAAGGAACATAGTGTATATGCAACTTGTGTACTTTCTAAGTATGGGAAGACTAATCCTTTAACAACTGCATTTACTTTCTTTCACTTCTATCGTTGCTATCTACTCCTCAGAAATCTACTTAAACAACCAATAAATATATATGATGTTGTTATGAGAGTTTTGGAAATAATTCCTAAAAATTTGCATGGTTGCCTCTTTATATTTGGCAGCTTCTATCACCCATGGGAACAACCCCTACAGAATGATCAGAATATAAAGCATGTGAGCCCTGGGTTTCTCAGGCACTGGAAGGACCTGTCAGAATCCTCTCAGGTGGGTCAAAATGGCCAGGCTTTATAACCTCATCTCCATTCGTGTTTGCATGTCCAGTGCTCCAGGATGACCTAACATTGAGCCAGACAATGGTTACAGCTGAGGCAAACTTTGAAGGAGCTGAGAGCTGAAGGCTGCTTTGTAATATTGCTCCTAGCAGCCAAGGGGGAAAGAAATCTTTTCTTGAAGAGCGATCTGTGTCCATAGCAAAATGTTTTTTTCTTAGCTCTTGTAAAATCGAAATTGTTTGCTTTTGAATTTTTTTAAATGATTCCTTTAAGATTCTTAATACCAAGATATCACAAGGTCAAGGAATTTTATAAAGAAGTATTTCTATTTATGTAATTTCCTAAATTTATCTATACACAAATCAGCACTAAAACATGCCTTTGATACTAACAACTTGATCGGTTTGTGAACCAAATCTGTCATGCAAATACATACGGCTGTTTTTAGATAAATTCTAAAGGTATTACCAAATCATTTAATTTTATTGTGTATCTCAATATTCTGGTTGATGTATAAGTTTAAATAGAACAAACTATTTGACATTGAAATGTTCTTTATCAAAGGAGAAGGAATACAATTTTAAAGCCACAACGAGTGACACATAGTTCTGAATGATTTATTGGCTGTCTGCCATTCTGAAATGGCTGCCAGTCAATGTTACATGTGACATCTTTCAGATAGTGTGAACTCTTTTATGCAAGCACCTTTCACTATAAAATTACAGCTGGAGATCATGAAGAGAAAAGTGTGGTGTTTATCTTAATGGGCTGAAAGACCTATTTCAACAGTTACAGTAATTCAGAAAAATAGTCTGAAGTCTAGTATTTCAATAATGTTATTTTCATAGATTTTAATCTCTAAAGACAATGCTTCACTTTTGTAGAAAATGACTTTTCTAATCATCCTGGATTTCAAAATTCTTTCCATTACTTAATATTTAAATCACTGGCAGAACTTGGCATGAGGACTAGAGAGCTGTCACCAAGCAGCCAGTCATTTTTCTTGGCTTCCCATATGCCATGCCCAGCAATAGAGCATTTCTTAGTAGCTGAGGAATAGCAGCAGTGCTAAACACAGAGATGACATTAACAGGAATGAGAGGGTCCAAGCTGTTTTCCTAGACTAATTCTCATTCAGCCTGAATTCAAAGCATTTTCCTATCATTATCATAGATATTTCGCTTGTGGTATTATCTATCTTTTGGCAATGTTGATTTTTTTCTGATTATCCAAATAAGTAATGTTAATGGAAAAAATCAGATATTAGGGGAAAAAAAACTCTAGAAATAAATGTTAACCCAAGACAATAACAATTCAATTAATTTATATGATACCTTAGGGATTGTGTCAATTATTTTTTAAATGAAATTCAAAAAATTCAACACCTGTGTTTTCTCCTATGATTACAAATTCAACCAGGGCACAATTGTAAATGGTTGTATTTGGTTGAATTTTTAGATTGTTTATAAGTTTTACTCTTGCAGACAATAATAATGGAGTTTCTTTGAAAATAAATTTAGTTGTTCTATAACCAAGGCATAAATATTCAATTCAATAAAATTAGCAAAAATATTAAATGAAAAGTATATTATATATAAAATGCATAAATAAAATATCCTGCACTGATCATTTTATGTCTATGGTTACCCTATTGATTCTGTGCACATTTGCATATGGGTATATATGCAATTTTATACAATGAAGTATTAATAGTGTACATAAATTTAGTAATTATTTTACCCCTTAAAAGTATATGCAATGAGTGTCACTTATATATAAATTCTGTTAACGTGGAAGAAGAATGTTAGTCAAAAAAACTACGAATTTAACAATTTTCTGGTTAATTCAAAGGGCTTTCCAAAAATGTCTTTTAAAATTCAATTTCATTTATTTTCTCATAGCAGAATATGAGAATGAATCTTTTTTGCTGCAAATTGGCTAGCAATAAATTTTTATTTTTATTATTTTAATTCTGTGAATTTCGGGAATGGAGTCTCATTCAGTATAAATATTATAATACTAATGAGATTGACTCCCTCCTTCTTATTAACAGTGTGCATTTTTACCCTCCGTGATTCAGTGCATGGTGTAGTGCTATAATTAAAAATGAACATTTTTTTTAAATTTTATTATTATTATATTTCAAGTTTTAGGGTACATGTGCACAATGTGCAGGTTAGTTACATATGTATACATGTGCCATGCTGGTGTGCTGCACCCATTAACTCGTCATTTAGCATTAGATATATCTCCTAATGCTTTCCCTCCCCCCTTCCCCCACCCCACAACAGTCCCCAGCGTGTGGTGTTCCCCTTCCTGTGTCCATGTGTTCTCATTGTTCAATTCCCACCTATGAGTGAGAACATGCGGTCTTAGGGTTTTTGTCCTTGCGATAGTTTACTGAGAATGATGATTTCCAATTTCATCCATGTCCCTACAAAGGACATGAACTCATCATTTTTTATGGCTGCACAGTATTCCATGGTGCATATGTGCCACATTTTCTTAATCCAGTCTATCATTGTTGGACATTTGGGTCAGTTCCAAGTCTTTGCTATTGTGAATAGTGCCGCAATAAACATACGTGTGCATGTGTCTTTATAGCAGCATGATTTATAGTCCTTTGGGTATATACCCAGTAATGGGATGGCTGGGTCAAATGGTATTTCTAGTTCTAGATCCCTGAGGAATCGCCACACTGACTTCCACAATGGTTGAACTAGTTTACAGTCCCACCAACAGTGGAAAAGTGTTCCTATTTCTCCACATCTTCTGCAGCACCTGTTGTTTCCTGACGTTTTAATGATTGCCATTCTAACTGGTGTGAGATGGTATCTCACTGTGGTTTTGATTTGTCCTCTCTCACCACTCCTATTCAACATAGTGTTGGAAGTTCTGGCCAGGGCAATTAGGCAGGAGAAGGAAAGAAAGGGTATTCAATTAGGAAAAGAGGAAGTCAAATTGTCCCTGTTTGCAGATGACACGATTGTATATCTAGAAAACCCCATTGTCTCAGCCCAAAATCTCCTTAAGCTGATGAGCAACTTCAGCAAAGTCTCAGGTTACAAAATCAATGTACAAAAATCACACGCATTTGTATACACCAATAACAGACAGTCAGAGAGCCAAATCATGAGTGAACTCCCATTCACAATTGCTTCAAAGAGAATAAAATACCTAGGAATCCAACTTACAAGGGATGGGAAGGACCTCTTCAAGAAGAACTACAAACCACTGCTCAATGAAATAAAAGAGGATACAAAGAAATAGAAGAACATTCCATGCTCATGGGTAGGAAGAATCAATATCGTGAAAATGGCCATACTGCCCAAGGTAATTTATAGATTCAATGCCATCCCCATCAAGCTACCAATGACTTTCTTCACAGAATTGGAAATAACTACTTTAAAGTTCGTATGGAACCAAAAAAGAGCCCGCGTTGCCAAGTCAATCCTAAGCCAAACGAACAAAGCTGGAGGCATCACGCTACCTGACTTCAAACTATACTACAAGGCTACAGTAACCAAAACAGCACGGTACTGGTACCAAAACAGAGATATAGATCAATGGAACAGAACAGAGCCCTCAGAAATAACGCCGCATATCTACAACTATCTCATCTTTGACAAACCTGAGAAAAATAAGCAATGGGGAAAGGATTCCCTATTTAATAAATGGTGCTGGGAAAACTGGCTAGCCATATGGAGAAAGCTGAAACTGGATCCCTTCCTTACACCTTATACAAAAATTAATTCAAGATGGATTAAAGACTTAAACGTTAGACCTAAAACCATAAAAACCCTAGAAGAAAACCTACGCATTACCATTCAGGACACAGGCGTGGGCAAGGACTTCATGTCTAAAACACCAAAAGCAATGGCAACAAAAGCCAAAATTGACAAATGGGATCTAATTAAACTAAAGAGCTTCTGCACAGCAAAAGAAACTACCATCACAGTGAACAGGCAGCCTACAGAATGGGAGAAAATTTTCACAATCTACTCATCTGACAAAGGGCTAATATCCAGAATCTACAATGAACTCAAACAAATTTACAAGAAAAAAACAAACAACCCCATCAAAAAGTGGGCGAAGGACATGAACAGACACTTCTCAAAAGAAGATATTTATGCAGCCAAAAAACACATGAAGAAATGCTCACCATCACTGGCCATCAGAGAAAAATGAACATTTCAAAGATGTGCTTCCAAATGCCAAATCATCACTAAAAAGCTCTGTGGCATAGAGGAAATTTCACAACCTTTTAGTGCCTCAATTTTGTGGAAGAATGGTTAGGAGGCTATTGCAATAACAAAAGAAAATTTGAATAGCTGTATCCAACATGAAAAGATTGCTAGTAGAATTAAATGAGTTACTATAGGTAAAACAATCAGGGAAGTAATTAAAGAGAATCTGCACTAACATTGTTTTATTAATTTAAAATATCTGTACACAATCCTTTGACTCATTTGGAATTAGTTTTAGTGTATTTTAGAAAATAAGGTTTATTTTTTATTTTCTCCCAAAACAATTCTTCAAGACAACTTTTCGAACAGTAAATTCCTTCTTTGTTTATAATATGTATTTTAATAAAGTCACTTATCTTCATGATTTCTAGGACATCGGTTCTATCTAATCTATTGTTCAGCATTCGTCTGAGTATTTTCTGAGCAGCAATTAACCCCTCTGTACCTCTGAGTGCCCACATTTCCTTGATCCATTTCACCTTGCTGATCAATCCTTCTTTACTCATAGTCTAAATTTTTTTTTTAGAACTTCTGAGAGTGCCTCAAACCTTGGTCTTGGGTCTTCCTTCAATCTTATTTGTCTTTCCACCTGATCTTAATTATTTACATCACATTATACCCTATCTTTATGGTGACAAATCTCAAAATTATCTCTCTGACCTAAACTTATCATTAAAGATTTGGTTGCAACTTATTAAGAAGTCAGGTTCAATGTAATACATGCATTGTTGATTTAATATGCTCATCAAAATACTTAAAATTTTATTTGAATGCAAAAAAATAAAGCTTTTAATTTTATCTCCTATTTAATAATTTTGACAAAAACATTATACCAATCATTACTAATTATTGCTGGCTTTTAAAATATTATCTGATTAAATATTTTTGACTTGGAAAAATGGTAACAAATGCTTCTCTCTTTCTTGTCCCCTTGAACCATACTTGATATATTGCTTTTTCCAAATCCGGGCCACAAGTTCAGAATATAGCCTGTTAAAATATCTTCTATGTATAAACTATCTTTAAATTTTCTTGAGAGAATACTGAGTAACCAAAAGCATTGCTCCTTCACCCTACAAAAGAGAGAAAAATTAAAAAATCACATTAATTTGTAATTTTAAATGGTAATTAAAGCTATTGTGAGGGCTCTTTTATCGGCCAAACTTGTGAACAAAAAACAGCTCAAATTTATGTGTAAATAAAATATATTGAGATGAAGCCTTTCATTCAATGTGTGATTTTCAGTTCAAAAAAACACACTGATGTTCAAGAACAAAGACTGGTACAATAACTATCTACAAAATGCTTTTGTTACTAGATTTTAATTCCTTCATCAAACAGACACAGTCAAAGTTGATAGTGTCACTAGATCTAGAGGTCTATCAATATCCTTCCCACCATTTAATATGTTCTTAATCTCAGGGAAATTCTAAATCATATTCTTCTAAATTGTACAGTTGACTCCTGAAAAACACAAGGTTTAGGGCCATCAAACCTCCCTAACCCCTCCCCACCACCCCAGCACAGTCAAAAATTCACATATAACTTTGGACTCCCCAAAACTAAACTAACAGCCTACTGTTGACTGGACAATCCTTAACACATATTTCATACGCTGTATGTATTTTACACCGTAGTTTTACAATGAAGCTAGTTACAGAAAAGAAAGTGTTATTAAGAAAATTATAGGGAAGAAAAAATACGTTTACAGTACTACAGTATATTTATTTCTCTCATAAGTTTACAATCCTGTGTTTACAAGATGGATCCTTCTTCTGAAATGGCAGCACACACAGCTGCAGGCCTCAATCTAGGGTACCTATCAAGCAATTCATTGTTTTCCTGTAATGTCAGGACCCTTCTCTGTTTCCTGGAAGAACTTTCAGCATCACTAGCAGCACTTTTTATAGGTCTGAAGGTGTTATTCAAGGTTTATGGTATTGCACTAGACATCATGAATAATACAGGAGAAACATGAGAGAACACTTTTTACTGTGTTAATTTACTGGAGAGACAAGCTACTCACAAGAAGATGATTAGCATTATGTGGCATTTTAAGTGAATACTCACAACACTTGAGTTCACTGCAAGAACAACAGGTGGAGGCTAGGAAATTATCCCAGTAGTACAGTATGTACTACAGTTAATTTTGTGCAGTTATGATTTACTTTTGTATATTTTTGTTTTACTTTTCTCTAAACTTCAATTGGCTGCATGTATGCTCTGTGTTTGCCTACGTCTTGATAAATTTTAACTTTTTATAATAGACGCATATATATCTCATTGTATTAAATGATCACTAGTATCTACATATGATTTATGCATTCATGACATCGTTTTCTTAGTTTTTTAATATTTCTTGTGTAGATGGGTCACCTGTTATCTTTTTCAATTTTTCATAAATCTCCAAAAATTTTCTAATATATTTATAGGAAAAAATCTACATATGAGCAGACCTGCACAGTTCAAACCTGTGTTGTTGAGGAGTCAACTATATATTATAATTTAAGAGAGGATTCAACTCTTTCATTCTACTGGCAATGGGTTAACATAAACTTTAGTCAGAACTGCTGAGCTTTTCTGGCACAATGAGGACAAATTGACCAATGTATTTAACCAATAGCTGGAGGAAAATTTTGCTAAAATTGGTAAGTATATCTTTATATAACTATATCCTTACAACTTGTCTCAACCTTCGTCAGATTAATCCTAACAAAACTGTAAAATGTCTCAGTAAAAATCTAAATGAATTTTTCATAACAAGTGCTGGCAATAGATTTTAAATATGTTCTGATCATTATTTGTCTCTTGTTGGCATGGAGAAAATCCTTTTTTTTTTTTTCAGCCTGGGGAATCCCAAACTATATCTCTAGTAACAAGGAAACCATTTTACCGGAATTTTTATTAACATGGAAAAGTTCTGTCAATTAATCAGACTTCACTGTCCATATCACTTTCAACCTTTTGGGAAGGTAGAAAGATGGAATTCTGAAACTAAAGTTGGTAAAGTTCACAGACATCGTCAAACTTGCATGGTCTAAGGTATTTCTTCTTTCTGTGGTTCATGAGTTAGTAACAGCTAAACCAAGTGTCTAGGAATATTAGCTCTGATTCTAGAAATCTACACTTATTTAACTAAATGCTGTAAGGACTCAGGAAATCCATTCTTTCAACAAAAGTTACTGAAGACTTTCCCCATTAGTATCCTAAACAATGTCTGCAAAATTGGTTTTCATACCTGGATACCTTGTCTTCTAAGAGACACGGCAGGGAAAGATCATAGGAAAAAAGTCACTATCAGGCACAGCTAACAACTAGCAAACCCATAGTCTTTAAAAGACTGATCCTTTGATTCCTATCTCTCAAGTAAAGAGGTTTAGGTCATCTTCATATTACAGGAAAGTATCCCTACCAAAAACTTCTAACTAATGACTCTTAGGATTCTTCCAAAAGCAAATAGTCTTTGGGAGAAGACAGCTTCCATCAAATGCCTTTGGATCAAGTGAATCACTATATGAGATATCGGTATCTGCAAACCAAGATCCACAAAAAAAGATCCATTGTTTGTCATATTTAATCTGTATATCTTGAGTTTTCATTTTCCTAGTTAACTTTATCTTTTTATGCTTAAGGTTACATTTAATTACTTTACCTATAAAGCTACTATTCCTAATTCCTCTATGCCGTCCTTAGTCACTCTCTAGAAGAGTCCGGAAGCTGGCCGTAATTTGTTCACAATTTGGCTAAACATGCAGTTGAATCAGTGCTAAGCTGCACACATTTTCCTTAGGATGCCAATTAGAGTTTTTTTTTTTAACATCGATTCCTAAATATGAAACATCTGGGTTTATCAATAATTGGACTCACTATTTATTGTTATTTTATCTGACAAACAGCAGAGTATTAGATAAATAGAAATCTTAAATCCTAACATGCTGCACCCAGGAAAGAAAGCTTATGCCTACAGCAGAACAGCACTTAGGGATCTTTAATAGAATGCAACTTCTGTCACTAAACCTTTAGAAAGAAATGTCTTAAAAAGAAGAGAACAAATGGCACATACTTAATTCATTTCTCACATTTACATATCATAAAAAATTCTTATTACATATTCAAGCTCCTATCACATCTACCTCTTCCTCTATGTGATAAGGTCTTCATTTTATATCCCCAAAAGTGATTAATAGCAGAATGGAGCTGAAAGCAATCAATAAACTCAATCAACCTTAATGACTGCTACTGGATTTGTGGTACCAGAACCTATTGATTATTACAGCAATCTTGACATAAACTAACATACTGATGTGGTAGTCAGAATAATGGCTCTTCAGAGATGATGCGGTCCTAATCCAGATAATTTATAAATTTGTTAGCTTACCTGGCAGGACAGACTTTGCAAATGCAATTAGAGTTAAGGATTTTGAAATGGAGAGACTATCATAGATTTTTAGATGGCCAAATGCAATCATAAGATTCTTTACACGTAGAAGAGGGAGATATAAAAGGAGAATGTGAAGACTTGCTCCTTCATTTGTAGCTTTGAAGGTCAAGGAAAGGAACTGTTATGAACTGAATATTTGTGTCTCCCTAAAATTAATCTATTGAAGATGATTGGCATTGTTCAAATATTAATAGATTATTTTCAATGATCTATTAATTGGCAGTGTGATAGTATCTGGAGATGGAGCTTTTGGGAGGAACCTAGGTTGAGATAATGTCCTAAGTGTGGTGTTCTCATGATAATGTTAGTGTTCTTATAAGAAAAGGTGGAGATACTAGACCACCTCCCACCCAACCACCCTTCTCTTTCTCTCTCCGTAAACATGTATCCAGGAAAGGCCATGTGAACACAGAGAGAAGGAGGCCATCTACTAACCAGAGAGGGAGTGGGCCCTCACCATGAACCAAATATACCAGCACCTTAATCTTGGACTTCCCAACTTTCAGAACTCTGAGAAATAAATGTCAGTTGTTTAAGTCACCCGGTCTATGGTATTTTCTTACAGTATTCCAAGCTGCCCAAGACAGGGAACATGCATCAAAGAATGCAGCTGGATTCTAAAGCCTGGGAAAGGCCAGGTCATGGATTATTCCACAGAGCCTATAGAAGGAATGCAGTCTTCCAATGCTTTGATTTTAAATCAGTAAGACCTGTGTTGAACTTCTAACCTGGAATACTGCTAGACAATAAATTTATGTTGTTTTAAACTACTAAGTGTATTGTGATTTTTATAACAGCCACAGGAAAATAATACATTTGGCAAATCAGTGCATGTTTCATGATGGTCAATGATATGCCCCAGGGTCCATCTTAGCCATGATTTCTATCCCTTCAAAAACCAAAACAAAATAAAAAAGTAAAACAAAAAGACCAATTTTACTATACTACTTGATTTTTAACAATATTTTATATGTATTTAATCCAGTATATCCAAAATATTGTCATCTCAGCATAAAACAATATTAAAATTATTCAGTTTTACATTTTTTAAACTAAATCTAGTTTGTATTTTACATATAGCATAAATCAATTCAAATCCACCATATTTCAAGTGTTCAATATCTACATGTCACTAGTAATGACTATAGTGGACAGAATTGATCCAGATTTCCAGGTGTATTGCTATAAAACTAACCATATTTTTATCTTATTAAAACAAAACAAAACTCCTCCATAACTATGTCTATGTTCCTTTTGCTTTTATTAACATTGAACATATTCTTGTTTTTAATCTAATTTTGTCTGTATTTAGGTCTATTTTTTGGTGGTGTTATTTCTTGTATGCTTGGCATCAACTTTTTTTTCAATTTCTTAGACTATCTAAACTATTATGCTCTGAGTTTAGCTCAATTTCAATCAGCTACTCACTTTGAAAGACTCATTTAACTCTCTTAAGCCATTCTCCACAAACATGAAAAATCTTCCTCTCACTCTTCCCTGCTGAAACACTGCAAAAGTATGTCAAAATGGTGTACTTTCTTGGCACAGGGTTTCAATAAACTTAGTTTTGCTTTAATAACAAATTATCTGAATATATTTCAGGGAGTTCCACTGGTAAAAGCATAAAATCATGTTAGTTCAGGTCATCTTTTGTAAAGTTATGACAGTGCCATAGTATCAATTCTTGTCAAAATTTATGACTTCAAAATCAACTTAATATGCATCAACATAGATATTTTTTAGTTAATTCTAGACTCCAGGTGCTCATTTAAATAATATGGGTACATAAGACTGAACAAAACCAGTTGCTATTGAATGTACATTTTAGAGAAATACTTCATACACAGCTCTGTTTTGTTAAATAAGGAACTTGATGACATAATCAATATCACGGCAGCATACAACTGTTTGGTTAGTATGTCTCTTTAAACAAGCACATACGCTCATTCATGGAGTGTGTATTTGTATCTGTGTATGGTCTGTGTGGTGAAGCAGCAAGCAACAGTTGGATGTCTTAATTATCTAACAGGAAAAAACACCTAAATAATCAGAAGAAATTTTGATTTATTTATTAGTTCGACTGAGCTTTTCTCTTGAATGTAACACAGATGGTCCCAGATTTACAATGGTACAACTTTACAGCTTCATCATGGTACAAAAGTGATAAACATTCAGTAGAAACAATGCTTTTATTACCCATATACCCATTCCGTTTTTCACATTCAGTATTTAATAATTTACATGTGATATTCAACACTTTATTTAAAAATAGGCTTTAGGTTAGATTTTTTTTTTGGACTGGCTAATGTAAGTGTTCTGAGCACATTTCTTAAGTGTATTTTTTTTTAATACTTTAAGTTCTAGGGCACATGTGCACAACTTGCAGGTTTGTTACATATGTATACATGTGCCATGTTGGTTTGCTGCACCCATTAACTCATTAACTACATTAGGTATTTCTCCTAATGCTATCCCTACCCATCCCCCCACCCCACAATAGGCCCCAGCATGTGATGTTACCCACTCTGTGTCCAAGTGTTCTCGTTGTTCAATTCCCACCTATGAGTGAGAACACACGGTGTTTGGTTCTCCGTCCTTGCGAAGGTTTGCTCAGAATGATGGTTTCCAGCTTCATCCACGTCACTACAAAGGACATGAACTCATCATTTTTTATGCCAGCATAGTATTCCATGGTGTATGTATGCCACATTTTCTTAATCCAGTCTATCATTGATGGACATTTCGGTTGGTTCCAAGTCTTTGCTATTGTGAAGAGTGCCGCAATAAACATACATGTGCATGTGTCTTTATAGCAGCATGATTTATAATGCTTTGGGTATATACCCAGTAATGGGATCACTGGGTCACATGGTATTTCTAGTTCTAGATACTTGAGGAATTGCCACACTGACTTCCACAATGGTTGAACTAGTTTACACTCCCACAAACAGTGTAAAAGCATTCCTATTTCTCCACATCCTCTCCAGCACCTGTTGTTTCCCGACTTTTTAATGATCGCCATTCTAACTGGTGTGAGATGCTATCTCATTGTGGTTTTGATTTGCATTTCTCTGATGACCAGTAATGATGAGCATTTTTTCATGTGTCTGTTGGCTGCATAAATGTCTTCTTTTGAAAAGTGTCTGTTCATATCCTTTGTCCACTTTTTGATGGCTTTGTTTTTTTCTTGTAAATTGGTTTAAGTTCTTTGTAGATTCTGGATATTAGCTATTTGTCAAATGGGTAGATTGGAAAAATTTTCTCCCATTCTGTAGGTTGCCTGTTCGCTCTGATGGTAGTTTCTTTTGCTGTGCAGAAGCTCTTTAGTTTAATTAGACCCCATTTGTCTATTTTGGCTTTTGTTGCCATTGCTTTTGGTGTTTTACACATGAAGTCCTTGCCCATGCCTATGTCCTGAATGGTATTGCCTAGGTTTTCTTCTAGGGTTTTTATGGTTTTAGGTCTAACATTTAAGTCTTTAATCCATCTTGAATTAATTTTTCTATAAGGTGAAGGAAGGGATCCAGTTTCAGCTTTCTACATATGGCTAGCCAGTACCATTTATTAAATAGGGAATCCTTTTCCCATTTCTTGTTTTTGTCAGGTTTGTCAAACATCAGATGGTTGTAAATGTTTAGCGTTATTTCTGAGGCCTCTGTTCCATTCCATTGGTCTATATCTCTGTTTTGGTACCAGTAAAATGCTGTTTTTGTTACTGTAGCCTTGTAGTATAGTTTGAAGTCAGGTAGCGTGATGCCTCCAGCTTTGTTCTTTTTGCTTAGGATTGTCTTGGCAATATGGGCTCTTTTTTTGATTCCATATGAACTTTAGTTTTTTCCAATTCTGTGAAGAAAGTCATTGGTAGCTTGATGGGGATGGCATTGAATCTATAAATTACCTTGGGCAGTATGGCCATTTTCACGATATTGATTCTTCCTACCCATGAGCATGGAATGTTCTTCCATTTGTTTGTGTCCTCTTGTATTTCGTTGAGCAGTGGTTTGTAGTTTTCCTTAAAGAGGTCCTTCACATCCCTTGTAAGTTGGATTCCTAGGTATTTTATTCTCTTTGTAGCAACTGTGAATGGGAGTTCACTCATGATTTGGCTCTCTGATTGTCTGTTATTGGTGTATACAAATGCATGTGATTTTTGCACACTGATTTTGTAACCTGAGACTTTGCTGAAGTTGCTCATCAGCTTAAGGAGATTTTGGGCTGAGATGATGGGGTTTTCTAAATATACAATCATATCACCTGCAAACAGGGACAATTTGACTTCCTCTTTTCCTAATAGAATGCCCTTTATTTCTTTCTCTTGCCTGACTGCCCTGGCCAGAACTTCCAACACTATGTTGAATAGGAGTGGTGAGAGAGGGCATCACTGTCTTCTGCTAGTTTTCAAAGGGAAAGCTTCCAGTTTTTGCCCATTCAGTATGATACTGGCTGCGGGTTTGTCATATATAGCTCTTATTATTTTGAGATATGTTCCATCAATACCTAGTTCATTGAGAGTTTTCAGCATGAAGGGCTATTGAATTTTGTCAAAGACCTTTTCCGCATCTATTGAGATAATCTTGTGGTTTTTGTCTTTGGTTCTCTTTATGTGATGGATTACATCTATTGACTTGCGTATGTTGAACCAGTCTTGCATCCCACGGATGAAGCCAACTTGATCTTGGTGGATAAGCTTTTTGATGTGCTGCTGGACTCGGTTTGCCAGTATTTTTGTTAAATGTACTAAATGCATTTTTTACCTAAAATATTTTCAACTTATGAGTATATCCAGATCCATCATAACACATCTTGGCCTGTGGTTATCAGGATGTAACTCATTATAAGTCGAGGTAGATTTGTATTATATCCCATGTACACACACACACACACACACACACACACACACACACACACACACAGACTTAATCTGTTTACAGAAATAAAAGGAATAAAATACCGTTTCTATTATACACCAAAACTAGCCATCTTGACAGATACTTCACTCTGAAAAATAACGTTTTATAGCTACTTTACAGATTAGTATAATAATTTGGTGTTTCTGTTTCAGAGATTCGATTTCACATTTCAATAAGTAGGCCGCTCCCTCTGCTAAGCCTGGGAATGTAATTCTTTTGAAAAACTATCTGTGCTGTAAAATTACATGTCATATTGGGAAAAGGACAATCGCAAACAGTAGTCACACATAAAATCAAGCAACACAGACATCCTTTTCACATACAGTGAAGACCCTTGTCAATTTTGAGATTACACAGGAAAACAGAATGGGGGACAAGTGTCTCTGACACATAGAAAATCCCGTGAAGAAGAACTCAGCTGACACAATCAAAACATACACAAAACTGAAAGAAACAAGGTGAGTGCTTTTTATATTAGTTCAGCTGTCAAGAAAGTGTAAAATAAACCTAACATTTTTTTACTAAGTGAGGATTTTCTTTTTTGAAACATCATCATTTATATTTATCCAGTTTGCAACTTCATCAGCTGAATCTCAGGATGTGTTCCATGACACTGAAGGACAATTAAATCATATCCATGACAATATATGAGAAGCTGACAGGAGAACATGGTGGCATTTGAATTAATGTCTATCATTAGATAGAATTTCTGATCACATAATTTAAGTTGTAGTTTTCCATACAATTTAATCAAGATAAGCACTTATTAGGTGAGTGATATACTTTGGCTCTGTGTCCCCACACAAATCTCATGTTGAATCGTAATCCCCACGTGTCAGGGGAGGGGTCTGGTAGGAGGTGATTTGATCATGGGGGTGGATTTCCCATACTGTTCTCGTGACAGTCAGTGAGTTCTCACAAGATCTGATGGTTTAAAAGTGTGTGGAACTTCCCCCCGGCTCTTCTCTCTACTGACACCATGTGAAGAAGGCACCTGCTCCCCCTTTACCTTCTGCCATGATTGTTAGTTTCCTGAGGCCTCCCAGTCGTGCTTCCTGTTAAGCTTGCAGAACTGTGAGTCAATTAAACCTCTTTTCCTCATAAATTACCCAGTAGTTCTTTATAGCAGTTTGAGAAGAGATAGATACAGAAAATTGGTACCAGAGAAGTGGGGCATTGCTATAAAAATACCTGAAAATATGGAAGTAACTTTGGAACTGGGTAACAGGCAGAGGTAGGAAACAGTTTGGAGGACTCAGAAGAAGACAGGGAGATATGGGAAAGTTTAAATCTTCCTAGAGACCTGTTGAATGGTTGTGAACAAAATGCTGATAATGATTTGGATAACGAAGTCCAGGCTGAGGGGGTCTCAGATGGAGATGAGGAACTCATTGAGAACTGAAGAAAAAGTTACTCTTGCTATGCTTTAGCAAAGAGACTGACAGCCTTTTGACCCGGCCCTAGAGATCTGTGTAATGTTGAACTTCAGAGAGATGATTTAGGGTATCTGGTGAAACAAATTTCTAAGCAACAGACCTTCCAACATGTGGCCTGGCTGCTTCTAAAAGTTTATGCTCATGTCCATGAAGAAAGAGATGGCTTGAAACTGAAACGTATATTTAAAAGGAAAGCAGAGCATAAAAGTTTGGAAAATTTGCAGCCTAACCATATAGTAAAAAAGAAAAACCCACGCTCTTGGGAGAAATTCAAGCAAAAATTTGCATAAGTAAAGAGGAGCCAAATGTTAATGGCAAAGACAATGTGGAATACGTCTCCAGTACATTTCAGAGACCTTTGAGGCAGCCCCTCCCATTATAAGCCTGGAGGCCTAGGAGGGAGAAATTGTTTAGTGGGATGGGCCCAGGGCCCTGCTGCTCTGGGCAGCCTCGGGACATGGTGCCCAGTGTTCCAGCTGCTCAGCTCCAACTGTGGCTAAAAGGGTCCAAGGCACTACTCAGGCCATTGCTTCAGAGAATACAAGCCTCAAGCTTTGGTGGCTTCCACATGAGGCTGGGCCTGTGGTTGTGCAGAAGGGAAGAGGTGAGGTTTGGGAACCTCCATCTAGATTTCAGAGGATGTATGGAAATGCCTGGATGTCTAAGCAAAAGTCTGCTGCAGAAGTGGAGCCCTTATGGAGAACCTCTACTAGGGCAGTGCAGAGGGAAAATGTGGGGTTGGAGCCCCCACACAGATTCCCCACTGGGGCACTCCCTACTGGAGCTTTGAGAAGAGGGTCATAGTGCTTCAGACCCCAGAATGGTAGATCCACTGACAGCTTGCACAGTGTGCCTGGAAAAGTCACAGGCACTCAATCCTAGCCTGTGAAAGCAGCTGTGGGGGCTGTGCCTTGCAGAGCCACAGAGGCAGAGCTGTCAAAGCTCATGGGAGCCCAGATATTGCATCAGTATGCTCTGGACGTGAGAGATGAGGTCAAAGAAGATTGTTTCAGAGCCTTAAGATTTAATGACTGCCTTGTCGGGTTTTGGACTTGCATGGGGCCTGCAGACCCTTTGTTTTGGCTAATTTCTCCCTTATGGAATTGGAGTGTTTACCTGATCCCTGTACCCCCACTGTTGTCTTGAAATTAACTAACTTGTTTTTGATTTTACAGGCTTATAGGCAGAAGCGATTTGCCTTGTCTCAGATGAAACTTTGGACATGGACTTTTGAGTTAATGCTGGAATAAGTTAAGACTTCCAGTCTGTTGGGAAGGCATGATTGGTTTTGAAATGTGAGAAGGACATGATACTTGGGAGGGGCCAGAGGAGAAATAATATGGCTTGGCCCTCTGTCCCCACCCAAATCTCATCTCAAATTGTAATCCCCTCATGTCAAGAGAGGGGCCTGGGTGGAGGTGACTGGATCATGGGAGCAGATTTCCACATGCTATTCTCATGATAGTGAGTGAGTTCCAAGAGATCTGATGGTTTAAAAGTGTGTGGCACTTCCCTCCTTGTGCTCTCTCTCTCCTGGTGCCATGTCAAGAAGAACCTTGTTTCCCCTTTGCCTTCCACCATGATTTTCTGAGTTTCCTGAGTCCTCCCATTCATGCTTCCTGTAAAGCCTGAAGAACTATGAATCAATTAAATCTCTTTTCTTCATAAATTACTCAGTCTCAAGTCATTCTTTATATCATTGTGAAAACTGACTACTACGGTTAGCAATCTTAAAGAATACTTGTGATTTTGAGAATCAGGCACATATTTTTTTAATAATCGGACTGCTTACAATTGTTTAACTCCTTGCAACTTATAGTTAGTGCCTAAAACTTTGATGACTTTCATTACATTTCAATGGCTCTGTTCCCTTATAGCAAACTACCTTTTTTACTGTACTTACTGTAACTACAGTGCATTTATTTTCAGCCCAAATAGTATTCAGTAATAAGCATTTCTTCCCACATAAGAATAAGTTATATTCCTATTCACTATATTCTAGAATTTCTATTTTCCTTCCACAGTGCCAGCTAAAATTAAAGTGGAATAATCTATTGGGGCCCTGTGTATTTAATGTTTGTTTTCTTAGTATATTATAAACACTGTGAAGGAAGGAAATCCTTGCCTCTTGTTTATACTTTTATCTCCATTATAGAAACACTCTGCATTATTTTCTTACTGCTGCTGTAGCCAATTACTACAAAGTTAGTGGTTTAAAATAGCACAAATATAGTGTCAAACAATTGTGTTTGTCAGATGTCTGCAATGCATCTTATGAGGCTAAAATCAAAGAGTGAGAACTGTTGTGTTCCTTTCTGAAGGTTTTAGGGGAAAATCAGTTTCCTTGACTTTTCCAGCCTCCAGAGGCTGTCCTGATTTGTTAGCTTATGGTCTTTCATTTGTTCAAACCAGAAATGCTGTGTCTCTCTGACCATTCTTTTGAAATCATACCACCTTATGTTTCTAGCCAAGAATGTTTCCCTAGTTTAAACCCATTTGATTACACTGAACTCAAAAGGACACTTTTTCATCTTACCATCCTTAACATTATAATACTTGCAAAGCCCCTTTTACCAGATAGTTAACATATTCACAGCTTCCAGAAATCAGGACATGCGGTTTTTTTTTTGTTGGTTTGTTTGTTTTGTAAACCATTATTTTGCTTACTATACTGTCTTAATTGGAGGAAGCAACTTCTTCGAATAGGTGAATTAATTTCAAATTGATAATGTGATTCTGAATGAACATTAAAGAAATCAACTATTACACCGAACATTACTTTATTGAGCTAAACAAATATTAACTGACTATATAAAATTCATTACACATTTGGAGATAGAATTTTGTACTCTTTAATAAGACTTTTTACATTTTTTGCAATCCTTTTTCTTATTTAAAAAATCAGTACTGTATTAGTACCCACAATATAAGTTTGTTCTAAGAATCAAATGAGATAAACATTTCAGACACCTATCATAGTATCAAGTTCATATCGTAAGCCTAAAATACCAGATGACTTTTATTATTTTCAGAATGTAGTCAAAATCAACATAAAGTTACATTAACACTTGGTTTACTGTATCATAATGCTAGCTTTGTGTCATATCTATCTAGAGAGTACACTGAATAGCTTAAACCAAGTAGAAGGTGATTTCTTGCTTACATAACAGTTTACCATAAGTAATTTTGGCTAAAGACGCATCTTTCCTGCAAAAAATAATTCAAGTTAACGAAGGATCTACTATTACCAAATTGTATCTTCCCAGATTACTTTGTATATATCACCATTCCAGAAGACAAAAGACTACTCATGAAATACAATTTGCACACTTCTTTATATATGAAAAATTCACTTCTCTTCCCTCTGTAAACAACTTAAAGTTTTGCCCAGTTACTGCCTACAACTTAGAGTTCAGGATGTTTCATGACGTGCAGTTCTCTCCCTCAGGCCACTATATGACTTAACGAGGACTAGTGTCCTATAAAGTCAAAAGACAAATTATCTGTAAAATCTAAGTTACCATGGTGAAGCTCCTATCAGAAGACAAAGAAGTCTGCAGAGCACTGACAAAAATATTTCTGAGCAGTACAAATATTTATTTGATGAAACCATAAACATGTCCTGTGGAAATAACTTTAAGGTCCATTGTCCCTGTGGCTCATAGATTTACTTTCTGAGGTAATTTACATTTTCTCTTATTCTCCATGCCTCCATCTTAAATTAGAACAATGAGTGTTTTCTCAGCATGACTCATCAATTGCACTGATTAGTGCAATTTGGGATGCTTGAGGATATTTTAAGCCTTAATTTTTTTTTCTCACAATAGGCTTATTGTACCTTTGCCAAGTAGTTATGTGGAAACCATTTATTTATTTATTGGATCTAGTTTATAACCAAACATACAGTTCTTTCCTAGGTATAATTCTAAAGTCTGCCTCATTTCCTTCTTTTTTCTCCTCCCCAACACACATATGCTTCTCTGACTGTAAAGATGACCACTTTAAGGTCATTTGAAATCATAGACTTGAAAGAGAAAACAACTTCCCTGATGAGTTCTTTGCTTCAGGGCTGGGTTCCTTGTTTTTTATGAACACAGTAGGATTTAATTTCTGAGCAGCTTTTTCAACCTAATCAGAAAAACCTGAGCTTTTCTGTCACTGTATAATTCCACCATTACTAGACTTTTTGTTTACAAGTGGTTTCCAACAAGGAATGACTTTGTTTCCATAGAACACTTGTCAGTGTCTGGAGACATTTTGAATTATAATGATTAGGTGGTGATGCTACTGGTATGTGGTGGTATAGCCTAAAGATACTATTAATATCCTACAATGCAAAGAATAACCTCCCACAGAATGCAGGAATATCAGGCATAAAATGTCAATAATGCTAAGGTTTAGCAACTCAACTCTATCCACTTTCTTTCCACTCTAAAGACAGGATATTTCTTTTTTCTTTTTTTTTTTTTTTTTTTTTTGCCTGTGTTTATCTATTTCTTGGATTATGGAACAGAACAAACATGAACACATTACCTTTTGCCTTTCCTCATTTCCCACACTCTTTCCTAGAGGTAATATTAAGCTTCCAATTAATTTTAGATGGTAGTTTCAATAATTTTTTTTCACTGGGTATTACAAGTCTTCATTTCAACCCTCTGAGTTTGGTTTACTTGTCCATTTAATACTAATTTAGTGGATACGTTTTAGGTGCTGTTATGGCAGACCCAACTCAAGCTGGTGATTTCTATATTACTTGGAATCGTGCTAGTTGCTTTGACAACTACACTCAACAACATATAATATCTTAAACAGAACAGAAGTTTCATTCATATAAACTGTTTTTTTAAGATAGGAAAAGCATTGCTCCTTTATGTCCGCATTCAAGAACATAGGCTACTAAGGTATTTAATCTGCAGTATGTTGCTTCCAAGACTACTGTAGAATTGGCCGTTCCAGTCAAGCATACTGAAAAACGTATACAGAAGAGTGCATGTTGGGATTTTGGAGACTTAATTGGATATAAAATATGTTATTTCTACTAATTTTCCACTATTTTGACTTTAATCCCATGCCCTAATATAAAGTATATAAGAATGAGAAACATAGTTTATGTATCTATCAAAATAGAACATAAATGTTTGTGAACATTTGAATCTGTCAGCTTCTCTTGCTCACGTGCCTGTAGTGCCTGTACTCAGGATGCTGAGGCAGGAGAATCGCTTGAACCCAGGAGGTGGAGGTTGCAGTGAGCTGAGGTCACACCACTGCACTCCAGCCTGGGCAACAGAGCGAGACTCCATCTCAAAAAAAAAAAGAAGTGACTCAACTGATTGATGTGTAAAACCTCATTGTAAAATAATGTTCTATAAATGAGACATTAATACAGTTAAATTTTTGGATTAAAAAAGTCTGCCACTTTGTGAATATGTTTTATTTAGGCTTGATTTAGTTAATTTTCTTTTTTCTTTTTCTTTTTTTTTTTTTCTGAGGAGTTTCACTGTTGCTGCCCAGGCTGCAGCGCAGTGCTGGGATCTCGGTTCACTGCATCCTCCACCCCGCCAGTTCAAGTGATTCTCCTGCCTTAGCCTCCTGAGTAGCTGGGATTACAGGCACCCACCCACCACCATACCCGGCCAATTTTTTGTGTTCTTAGTACACATGGGGTTTCACCATGTTGGCCAGGATGGTCTCGAACTTCAGACCTCAGGTGATCCGCCCACCTTGGCCTCCCAAAGTGCTGGGATTACAGGCATGAGCCACCGCACCCAGCCAGTTAATTTTTCTATTAACTAAGACCTAATTAAGATTGAGGCAGAAGAAATGGGTCCTTGGGATTTGAAAATTACTATTCAATTTGGAAGTTTAATTTGCAACATAGATTGTCTGTTATTAAATTACTAGATATAATATCACAAAGGTGGAAAGAAAGGTTGCTTAGTTAAAGATCTAAGTTACTAGTCATGGTGTCAGATATAGAGAATGATTGAAGGTTATCAGAGTCACACACCAGATGAGTAAATTGTTGTTTTCAAGGAAGAGGTTACATAAAGGTAAGCGGAGTAATATTTCAGCATTTTTGTTAATTAAAAATTTGTAAAGTTATTTCCATTTCAAGGAAATTACTCTCAGTAATTTTACGGGTAAAATGACAAATTCCAAGTTTAATTTTCACATGTAACACCCTCCTTGAGCACTTATTTTTATAAAGCTATTAATCTATTTTGGTCTCAATTTACCTTTCTTTAAAGAGATTTTAAAATTTTCTGAAAGAAGTTGACATCTGGAAGTGTAGCTGTTATATTTTTCAATTTTTAATTACATATTTAATTATCCTTTAATTACTTAAGGTTATTCTCAAAAGTGAAGAGATAGCTGGGATCACACTGCGTAAGATTTTACTCCTGAATGTAATATTCAAAAATGTTACAAAGTCTATCAAAGAGGTTTTCATTCTGTGACAATACATGGTCAATTTGACATGGTCAGGAAGCACCACCCCCACTGAGAGATACCAAATTATGGAGTAAACCACCGTAATTTAGGCAGATCTTGAGAGAGAAAATGCTGAGTGGATGCAGAGGCAGCAATGAAGCTGAGCTGAAGAGGGAGGAAGCCTGTGCAGGGAACCCAAACACTACAGCTAGTTCCCCAGAATGGCTCCTAGGAAAGGGCCTCTGCCTGAGAGAGACCTGTGGCCTAGAACACCTAACACAAGAAACACAGTGATTGCAGGAGACTCCCCCAGGGCCCAGGAGCACATCTGGTGATGGAGGCATCTCTCCCACCCCCACTATAGAGCACACCTGCAAACAAAAGGAAGTATAAAACAGCCATGCCACTGGGTATTAGGCTAGCCACTGGCCATCACTCTTAAGCACTATGCATTGGATCACATCCCAAACTACAACATCAAAATTTATCCTGCTACATATACACCTGTGAAACCAAACACAAGAATTACTCATACATAAAAATCCTGGACAGAGAAAGCCCTGACCCTTTGAAAGCATCCAGAAACAAAACCAATTGCCTATACTCAACATACACTACAGTTAAAGGAACACTAACCCTACCAGAAGAGAAAAAATCAGTGCAAGAACTCTGGCAATTCAAAAAGCTAGAGTGTCCTCTTACCTCAAAATTAGCCCACTAGCTACCAAGCAATGGTTCTTAATCAGTCTAAAATAATTGCAACAGACATAGAATACAGAACCTCGATGGCAGGGAAGCTCATGAACATTAAGGAGAAAGTTGAAACCCTAGCCAAGTAATCCAGTAAAGCAATCTAAGTAAGTGCTGAAAGATGAAATTGCCATTTTAAACAACAGCCACACTGAATTTCTAGAGCAGAAAAAATTCAGTATAAGAATTTTATAATACAGTAAGAAATATTAACAGAAGGTAGGCCAAGCTAAGGAAAGAATCTCAGAGCTCAAAGACTGGTTCGTTGAATCAACTGAGTCAAAAGAAAATTTTAAAAAAGAATTAAAAAAAGAAAATGAACCAAAGCTTTAAGAAATATGGAATTATATAAAGAGACCAAATCTACGACTCATTGTCATTCCTAGAAGAGAAACAAAGAGAAAAGGCAACTTGGAAAATAGATTTGAGAATAGAGTCTATGAAAATTTTCCTAACCTCGCTAGAGAGAGTGACATGTAAATCCAAAAAATACAGCAAACCCAGCTAGGCACTATAAAAGGTGACTATCCCTAAGGCACACAGTCATCATATTCACCAAAGTAAATACAAAAGAAAAAAAAAATCTTAAAGGCAGCTAGAGAGAAAGGTCATGTTTTCATAAAGCAAGAACTCCACTAGGCTAGTAGTAAATATCTCAGCAAAAACCTTACAAGCCAGAAGAGATTAAGGGCCTATGTCCAACATCATTAATGAAAATAAATTCCAGGCAATAATTTTATATTTCACTAAACTAAACTTCCTAAGTGAAGAAGAAACAAATTTCTCCTCAGATAAGCAAATACTGAGGGAATCAATTTCAACTTGACCAGCCTTATGAAAGGTCCTTAAGGGAGTGCTATACATTGAGTAAAAAGAATGACACCTGCTACCACAAAAACCCACTTAAGTACATAGCTCACAGGCACTATAAAGTATCTACACAATCAAGTCTACCTAAAAACCAGCTACAAACGTGATGATAGGATCAAAATCTCATGTATCAACATTAACCATAAATGTAAATAGGCTAAACACCCCCACTTAAATGACATACAATGGCAAACTGGATAAAAATGCAAGGCTCACCATCTGCAGTCTTCAAGAGACTCACCTCATATGTAATGACAGCCACTGGCCCAAAATAAGGGGATGGAGAAAATCTGCCATGCAAATGATAACAAAAAAGCAGGAGTAACTATTCTTATATCAGATAAAACAGACTTTAATCAAAATTAAAAAGAACAATTGAAGAATGAAGAGCATTACGTCATGAGAAAGTATATGATCAAACAAGAATACTTAAGTACCCTAAATATAAATGCACCCAACATGGAGCACCCAGATTCATAAAACAAGTTCTTTTTGGACTACAAAAAGACAGACGACCACCCAATAACTGTAGGAGACTTCAACACCCCCGCTGGCAGCACTGGATCATCAAAGCAGATAACTAAGGAAGAAACTGTGTACTTAAACTTCACCCTTGACCATCTGGACCTAATAAGACATCTACAGAACACTCCACTCAATAACCACAGAATATACATTCTTCTCATCTGCACAGGGAACATATTCTAACATTGACCACATGCTTGGTCATAAAGCAAGTCTGGATAAATTTTAAAAAATGAAATCATATCAAGCACACTCTTAGATCTCAATGTAATCAAAATATAAATAAATACCAACATCTCTCAACACTACACAAATAGATGAAAATTAAACAACTTTCTCCTGAATAACTTCTGTGTGAAAATCAAAATTAAGGGAGAAATTTTAAGAAAGTGAAATTAATGAAAATGGGAACACAAATTACCAAAATCTCTGGGATGCAGCTAAATCAGTGTTAAGAGGAACGTTTAAATGCCTTTATCATAAAGTTAGAAATACTTCAAATTAACAATCTAACACTACACCTAAAGGAACTAGGGAAGAAAAAAAAAAGAACAACCCTACATCAACGCTAGGAATGAAAAGAAACAACTAAAATAGAGAAGATCTGAATGAAATTGAGATGCAAAAATCCATACAAAAGATTAATGAAACCAAGAGTTGATTTAAAAAAAGAGATTGATAGACCTTTAGCTAGATAAACAAAGAAAAAAAAGAGAAGATCTAAATATATAAATCAGAATGACAAAAACGACATTAAAAATGGTCCCACAGACATACAAAATAATCCTCAGAGAATACTAGGAATAACTCTAGACACAAAAATTAGAAAATCTAGAGGAAATGGATAAATTTCTGAAAACAGGCAATCTTCCAAGATTGAATCAGGAAGATACTGAAATACTGAAGAGACCAATATGAAGCTCTGAAATTGAATAAGTAATAAAAAATCTACCAAGCCAAAAAGCCCTGGACTATATGGATTCACAGCAAAATTCTACCGGAAGTATAACGAAGAACTAGTACAATTCTACTGAAACTATTCCAGAAAAGTTGAAGAGAACGTACTCCTTCCTAACTCACGCTGTGAAGCCAGAAGCAGCTTAATACCAAAACCTGGCAGAGACGCAAAAAAAAAGAACATTCAGGTGACCACTGTTGACGAACATAGACTCAAAAATTCTCAACAAAGTACTAGCAAACTGAATCCATCAGCAGCATATCAAAAAATTAATCTACTATGACAATACAGGCTTTATTCCTGGGATGCATGGCTGGTTCAACATATGCAAATCAATAAATGTGATTCACCAGATAAACAGAATTAAATCAAAAACCATATGATCATCTCAACGGATGCCGGAAAAGCTTTCAATTAAATCCAGTGTCCCTTCATGAAAAAACAAAACAAAAAAAAACCCTCAACAGTTGAGGCTTCAAATAAGCATACTTCAAAATAAAAAAGAGCTATCTACAACAAACCCACAGCCAATATAATACTCAATGGGCAAAAGCTGAAAGCATTCTCCTTTAGAAATGAAACAAGCCAAGGACATCCACTCTTACCACTCCTATTCAACATAGTACCAGAAATCCTAGTCAGAGCAATCTTGCAACAGAAAAAGAGAAAAGCACCCAAATAGGAAGTAAAGATTAAGGCAAACTATCTGTCTTCACCCAACAATATCCTTCTATACCTAAAAAAGCTTAAAGACTTCAACAAAAGTCTACTAGAAATGATAAAGGATTTTAGCAAGGTTTCAGGATACAAAATCAATGTACAACAATTAGTAGCATTTCTATACAACAACAACATCCAGGTTGAGAGTTAAATTAAGAACACAATCATATTTACAACACCTAGGATGAAAATAAAATCCCTGCAAATACAACTAACCTAAGATGTGAACGATCTCCACAAGGAGAATTACAAAACACAGCTGAAATCTGAAGCTGGATGCAGTGGTTCATGCCTTTGGGAGGCCGAGGCAGGTATATCGCTTGGACCCAGGAGTTTTGAGACCAACCTAGGCAACATAGTGGAACCTCATCTATACAAATTTTTTTTTTTTTTTTAAATAGCGAGGCATGGTGGCACATGCCTGTAGTCCTAACTACCCTGACGGCTTGAGGCCAGGAGTTCAAGCCTGCAGTGAGCTATAATAACTCCACTGCATTCCAGCCTGGGTGAAAGGGTGAGACTCTGTCTCAAAAAAGGAAGGAAATAAGAAAAGGAAGGAAGGAAGGATGGAAGGAAGGGAGGAAGGGAGGGAGGGAGGGAAGGAAGGGAGGAAGGGAGGGAGGGAGGGAGGGAAGGAAGGAAGGAAGGAAGGAAGGAAGGAAGGAAGGAAGGAAGGAAGGAGATTTTGATAACACAAATAAATGGAATAACATTCCATGTTTACAGATTAAAAGAATCAATATGTTAAAATGGCCACACTGCCCAAAGCAACTTGTAGATTCAAGGCTATCTCCATGAAACTACCAACATCATTCTTCACAGAATTAGAAAAAACTATTCTAAATTTATATGGAACACCCCCAAAAGCCAGAATGGCCAAAGCAATTCTGAGCAAAAATAATAAAGCCAGAGAGGCGTCATACTACCCAATTTCCAGCTATACTATAAGTGTACACTAACCATGATACTGTTACAAAAGCAGACACTTAAGCCAATGGAACAGAATAGAACACTCAAAAATAAAGCTGCACACTTACCACCATCTGGATCGTGGACAAGGCCAACAAAAACAAACAATGGGGAAAAGGCACCCTATTCAATAAATGGTGCTGGGATAATTCGCTAGCCATAAGCAGAAGAGTGAAACTGGATGCTTACCTTCCACCATACACACAAATTAATTCAAGATGGATTAAAGGTTAAAATGTAAGACTTCAGATTATGAAAACTCTAAAACAAAACCTAGGAAATATTTTTCTCGACATTGGCCTTGGCAAATAATTTTTGGCTAAGTTTCTAAAAACAATTGCAACAAAAACGAAATTGACAAGTGAAAGTCAATCAAACTAAAAAGCTTCTGCACAGCAATAGAAACTATCCACAGAGTAAACAGACAACTTACAGAATGGGAGAAAATATTTGCAAACTATGCATCTGATAAAGATCTAATATAACAAATCCATAAGGAAGAAAAAATGACAAGCATAAAACAACCCCAGTTAAAAAGGGCAAAGCTAATACAGGAGCAGAAAATCAAACTCCGCATCTTCTCACTTATAAGTGGGAGCTGAACAATGGGAACACATGGACACAGGGAGGGGAACAACACACAATGGGGAACAACACACAACACACACTATAATTTTCTGTAGGGGGTTGAGGAGAGGGAGAGCATCAGGAAAAATAGCTAATGCATGCTGGGCTTAATACCTAGGTGATGGGTTGATAGGTGCCAGCAAACCACCACCACACACGTTTATCTATGTAACAAAACTGCGCTTCCTGCACATGTACCCCAGAACTTAAAATTTAAATCAAGAAAAGGCAAAGGACATGAACAGATATTTTCTCAAAAGAAGACACTCAAGTATATGAAAAAACACTCATCCTTACTAATCATCAAATAAATAAATGCAAGCAAAAACCACAGTAAGATGCCATCTCACATCAGTCACAACAGCTATAATTAAAAAGTAAAAAAATTAGATGTTGGCCAGGCTGCAGAGTAAAGGGAATGCTTATACACTACTGTTGATGGAAATGTAAACTGGTTCAGGTACTGTGGAAAGTATTTTGGAGATTTCTCTAAGAACTTAAAACAGAGATACCCTTCGACCCAGCATTCCCATTACTGGGTATATATTCAAAGGAAAATAAATTATTCTACCAGAAAAATATACATGCACTCGTACGTTCATCAGCATGTTATTCACAATAGCACAGACATGGAATGAACCTAGGTGCCCATCAAAGGTGGATTGGATAAAGAAAATGTGGTACATATACACTATGGAATACTATGCCTCCATAAAAAAGAATGAAATTATGTCCTTTGCAGCAACATGGATGGAGCTAAGGACATAATCCTAAGCAAATTAGTGCTGGAAAAGAAAACCAGATACCACACATTCTCACTTATAAGTGGAACCTAAACACTGAGCACACAGGAACATTAACATGGGAACAAGACATGCTGCAGGCTACGGGGGTGGGGGAAAGAGGGGAGCATGGGCTGAATAACTACCTACTGGGTACTATGCTCACTACCAGGGTGCACTGTACAAAAGTAACAAATCTGCATATGCACTATCTGTGTCTGAAAAAAACTGAAATTATAAAAACCAAGAGAATATGTTTCTAATGAACGTAGACTTTATTTGATGGACTGGATTAGAATATAATTTTTTTAAGGGGAAAGGCATTGGGGGATGCACAATGTCTACAGGTTTCTAAACCTCTCTGGTTTCTCACCTAATTCATAGTCTCTTATGTCATTTTCATAGTTTTCATATTCTGCCTTTCCACCTCTTCTTTTTAACAAGTAAAATTCCTCATAGCATACAAAAAAACAATTTTATAAAAAACCCATATTATAGATCAGGGACCTGTGGATTATATGCTATTAGAACTATACAAAATGTCTCTATATAGTTTTCTGTATCTTTGGAATATCTTTGGGTGAAGCTGCAGACCTTCTTGGTGAGTGTTACAGCTCTGCGCAGAGCCAAACAGTGAGCAGCAGCAAGACTGCAAAGAGCAAAAGAACAAAGCCTCCACACTGTGGAAAGGGACCCTAGCACGTTGCTGTTGCTGGCTCTGGCAGCTGCTTTTATTCCCTTATCTCACCCCACCCACATCCTGATGATCGGTCCATTTCATAGAGAGCTGATGGGTTCATTTTACAGAGAGCTGCTTGGTCTGTTTACAATCCTTTAGCTAGACACAAAAGTTCTCCAAGTCCCCACCAGATTAGCTAGACACAGAGCACTGATTAGTGCGTTCACATACCTTGAGCTAGACACAGCATGCTGATTGGTGCATTTACAATCCTCCAGCTAGACGTAGTAAGTTCTCCAAGTACCCACCGGACTCAGGAGCCCAGCTGGCTTTGCCTAGTGCATCCCGGCCGCGGGCGGAGCTGCCCGCCAGTCTCTGGCGCGCTGCCGCACTCCTCAGCCGTTGGGCGGTTGACGGGACCGGGTGCCGCGTAGCAGGAGGTGGCGCCCGTCCCCTCGGGGTGGCGCGCGGGAGCCTGCGGTTGGGGGGCGGGGGGCGGGGGGCAGGGGACGGGGGCGGGGAGGAGGGTGAGGGCTCCAGCATGGCAGGCTGCAGGTCCCGAGCCCTGCCCCCTTGCCCCGCGGGGAGGTGGCTGAGGCCCAGCGAAAATTCGAGCGCGGCGCCGGCGGGCCATCACTGTTGGAGGACCCAGTGCACCCTCCGCAGCTGCTGGCCCGGGTGCTAAGCCTCTCACTGCCCAGGGCCGGCGGCGCCAGCCGACCGCTCAAGAGTGCGGGGCGCGCCGAGCCCGCGCCCACCCGGAAGTCGCGCTGAGCCCGCGCCCACCCGGAAGTCGCGCTGGACCTGCGAGCACCGCAGGCAGCCCAGGTTCCGGCCCGCGCCTCTCCCTCCACACCTCCCCGCCAGCAGAGGGAGCCCGCTCAGGCCTCAGCCAGCACAGAGAGGGGCTCCCACGGTGCAGCTGCGGGCTGAAGGGCTCCTCAAGCGCGGCCAGAGTGGGCTGAGGCCGAGGAGGCGCCGAGAGCCAGCGAGGGATGCCAGCAAGCTGTCACCTCTCAGAAATACAGGAAGAACATCAATAATGTTCGAAGTTATAAAGTAGTAGGTTTCTATCAAGAGTAAAACATAAACGAAGTTATAAAGTAGTAGGTTTCTATCAAGAATAAAACATAAACGATCAAAGAATTCCTTATAAAAACATTTTTTATTTCTAGGAATCAAAACATAAATATAAAATTTGAGAGTCCACCAAAAAAAATTAGATGCCAGATTTCACTATAATTATCAGGGAAGCGCCCAAATGGGTTGTTTACGGCGCCTCGGGGAAACTTTCTGTTTCGTGTTAAGGGTCTTGAACCATGATGTTTAGAAAACCATGGGCTGATGCTTTCAGAACCTCTGTGATTTTTGCCTCTGACACTGCATCCAATAGACTAGCATGTTGATTAGGGAAAGCTAAATTCAATAAAAGACGACTGTAAGTGGGGTCACCACCTTGAGGGGTCATGTTAGAAAAGTAGATGATAAGGTGGTATTGATAGAGTATTGAAGTCTGGGCTCAAATGGTTGCCCGGGGCCTTTCAAGACCAATGACTGATAAGAATAGGTAATGTTCAGGACATAGAGTTTAGGATTGGGGGACACTGTGAGTTAAGGGCCATGACAGAAGTCTTCATAAGTAAACTGTTAATTGACACAAGCTGCTACCTGCCCAGGTGAGCAATCTGTTGGCCCAGAGGAGAGTTGCTTACTGACATAAATTGATTTGCAGAAATTTCCTGAAGCAAACAATAAGTTATTTATTGGTTTGCAGCCTTACTTTCCTGAAAAATAATTTTCTGGAATGAATTGTGAAATCATGTTGACACAGATGGCCTCAGGTTTCAGTTCGGATAATTAAGCTGTGTAAATATAGAAAGTCGAAGGTTTCTGGGTGCTGTTGATTCACAGTATGCAACAATGATCATATTACTTTTATTTACTATGAGCTTCAGCTGAAAATCCAAAAGAAACTTTAATTTCAGATATTTAATGAAATCATTATAGCTGTGGTAATTTCCTTTAGCTGGGTGTGAGTGTGTGATGTGAGCGTGTGATGTGTGTGTGTGTGTGTGTGTGTGTGTACTCTGGCAGCATATTCCAAATAATTTCTGTAAAATTTCAGTTTGAAATTAATAGAAGACATATTAAATTGTTTAAACTCTTTGTTATTTAAATTCTATATTACTTTAGTCGATTACTCTGTATTATTACGGCAAAGCTTTGATATGTTGCCCTGAATTTAAATGAAAAGGCTGTTCGGCCTAAAAACAGGAATATTTTATTACCAAAAAGAATTAACTACCATATGTCATTTACAGAAAAGAGTAAATTCTTCAGGGCATAGAAAATACACATTTCCTTCTGTTTGTGTGGAAATAAGCAAAATACCTGTTATAATAGATTCCTCACAGAATTTTGTGAAGCTTCAGGTAAACTTGAAAGAGAAAAATTAAAATGCTAGAGTTTCATAATTACAAATTGGGATATAAAAATAGAATAATTATTTGAATTTTGTATTTCTCTCCAGGGGATCAAAAGTAATATATAAACTTTTAATAAATATTGATATAGCTTCACGTTGACTCCATATGTGAGCAATTTGCTTTCTGTTAAATTCACAATTGCATAATTTTTTTCAGGCTGGAATGCACTTGGATGCCAGAGATTTTGATTTCTTCATGTGACATAAGGTGATAATACATTCCAAAGTATATATTTTTTCAACTTTGAATATATCTGGTGTATTTGGAGTAATATCTGAGTAAATACACTTATATGTAAGAGAATCAAAGGAACAAGATATTATTTTATATCCAAGGAAATTAACACTTAGAACATAAATACGTATTGCATTACTTCATATTAAAGAAATGTTTTACAAAAGAAAATAAAGGAGCTTATTTTATAGCCCCATTTCCACAAATAATAGCAAAGGTACATACACATATCTAATGTTTTACACACTCATTATTGTTTCTCTTAAAATTTGTTGCTTATACTATTTTAAAAGGCAAGCCTATAGATTGTTGTGTGTATATACATATACACACAACATACATATGTGTGTGTGTGTGTGTGTGTGTGTGTGTGTGTATATATATATATATATATATATATATCAGCAAGCAAGAGAATGGGCCTCTTCCTACTGAGGTTTAACATTTGCATGTATATGTATATTTTGATTCACATAGACTTATTGTTCTTTAATTACATGAACAGTGATTCCTGGTTACATTATTGGAAAATGGAAGCAATGCTCAAAGAGCATCACCTAAATTTCCATCATATTTTGCTCTCAATATGTTTTGTACATCCAAATATATTGTGATTAATCTGCATACATTTTTGCTGTTCTAGGTGACGCTGGTATGAGGCTAGGTAATACACGACCTTAGTCTGCATGTTGTACTTGTGTAACACACATAATTTTACAGTGCTAACAGGTGCTATAATAACTAACTATAGTTAATGATGAATGAAAGAAGGAAGATGTTAAGATGTTAGGGAAGGACTCAAAAGATGCAGTGCTTGAGTTAGAATTTTAAGGGAGATTGTGCAAAAGCAGTCACTTAAGGTGGGTCGGGATGATCTAGAATGTGGGAATGATGTATGCAAAGTCACACAGGAGAGATACAGCATGCATGTTTAGAAAATTGTTGATTACATATGGAAAGTTTGCAGGACTTGCATCCTAGAATGTCAGGATTTTAAGCTAAGTAGGGTTCAAATTAAATTTTTCACATACTTCGCTGCATTATAATAACTAGTTTATGTTTAACTCATCCACTAAACTAAGTTATTTGAAAAGAGATGCCAGTGTTCACTCAATCTAGTTGTCTGTCATTAATAATTTAAAAATAATTGAGATTTTAATTTTGGTCTGCTAAGCCTGTTTAATTAAAATTTGACATTAAATAAGATTTTACAGGCCTCATTTTTTTTTTTCAGTCATCACAGTTTGAATATTAAACATTACTACTTTTATCTCCCTCAGTCAGCATAAAACATACTACTTATGGTTTTAATAACCAAATTCAATGAGCACCAACAAAATTTGATGTAACTATTAACTTTGAAATTTTGTTGAAATAGAACTATGCCTTGGGTATCATTCAAAGCATTTAATTGTTGCAATAAAAAACTTTGAGATAAATTGAAATGATGGACAATATGGGTCGAAAGCAACACTGGCTTGAGGGAATAGGCTAATGTTTGAGAACAGAATTGTTAAGGACAAGATTGGATGTTTATATTACTTTAGGAAAGACACACTCTAATGGAGTTTAATTCTAAAATGTTTAATATTATGAAAATATTATATGTTATATGATCATTATAGAAAATTAAAAATATAAGAACATCAGAAGCAAAATAGTCAAAGTCTACCTAAACCCAATTAGAAGTGAATACTATTAATCTTGATTTGCATGTTTCTAATCTTATTATTATCAAATTAATAAACAGCTTTCAGATATTCTGCTTCTCCCTGTTACTAGATCAGGATAATGTCATTTATGTACAGGCATCTCCTGCTTACTCAGTTCAGCATTGATCAATAAATATTTTAGACTTCTATTCAAAACACTTCCATTTTTCTTTTGCCCATATTCTTTTTATTCAGTGCTGCCTGTTTTCAAATACACAACACTTTGTCAAACAAATTCCAACATTAGATTGGATATAGTTGGTATCAGAGTAGTAATACACATTGCCATTCCTAATCCTCAGTGCATTGATCCTGAAAATTATTTGTAAGAATAGAAAAATACTGGATATTTCAAATTAAGTCTCATTTTGTTGCTTACCCATGAAAGACTGGAATTAACCAACATAACCATTACAAGGTGATTGAGCAAATGAATAGATGGAAAATATTATAGAAACTTTACTGCAGTTCATCAACCATTGTGGTCATTAGGCCGTAGGAAAATACAGTGTGACAGTACCCCTGTCTTCTTTTCCATTTGTTAAGTCTCATATCCAAGTAACAGTGGGTAGACCTTATGAGAACCCAAAGTGAGATAAAAATAATTTTTGGCTTTTCAATGTATCTTATTTGATCTAAGAGGTATTTCCCCGACTTTGATGCAATAATTCTTGTCACAAAATTTGACTTTACTGAAGACCGTTTTAAGGATCTTTGCAGCTGACAGCAGTGACTTTTTTACCTCCTACAAAGTTTCAACTGACAGTCTTATTGTCTCTGACTTTCCCAAATTAATGACATAATTAGTCACCAGGGCTTTGGCTGCTCAATAGGGATTTAGTAAGCAATGAGTCATATGTTGGGGAACACTTCAACAAACAAAATGTTGGGAGAGAAAGATGTATGAATCAGCTAGGAAGAAACACTATTCTATCACTGAGGATCTTTCTAATATTAGATATCACAGAAAAATTTTCATATAGATTACCATATGAGTGAGCCAAAACCTCTAGGAACAAAAAAGCTTAGTATAATTATAACTCCTTGCCATGATTTAACTTAAAATTTCTTTACTTATTTAGCAATTCTATAAACAAGAATCATTTCTGTTAAGGATACTAAGGAGAGTGTTCCTATTGAATCAGAACATTTAAAAGAAATAATTGAGGGAACTCACACATGTAAAACGTCATTAACCAAACTAAAATAAAATGTGAGGGCATAAACTTAACCAGAAATGTTTAAAACCTATATATAAAAAAAACTAGAAAACACTTCTGAATGGCACAAATTTGGACTTGAGCACGGGGAAAGAAATTCCATGCTCTTGAAAAAGCCTTAAAATCATAAATGTGCCAGTTCTTTAAATAAACTTATATCTTCTGTGTCATAACAAAACGACATTTTCTAGAATTTCTTTTTCCAGATTTAGAAAAATAGACAAATTTACTTGGAGGAATAAAGAAGCAAGAATAGCTAGAAATATCCTATAAAATCAATGGAATTTGGAGTCAATACAAAATATTAAGCAATTCTTAAAGCTTCTATGATTAAAATGAGTTATAACTACAGATAGATGAAGATCATATAGAAAATCAAGACATTGACAGATATGGAAAGGTGGTATATAATGAAAACATTTCAGATCAATGAGGGGGAAATGTTAACCGGAAAAGAATATTAAAAAGGCAATGAACTCAATAAGACAACAAGAAGCAAACCACAGAAAAATAACTGGACTGGATTAGAAAGAAAATATTTTAGACACTTCAAAAATAAAATATTCAAATAACCAATGAACTTATTAAAAGGTTTTTATTTATATTGGTTACCTGAAAAAATAATTCAAACCACAATGAGATGTAAGTACTTGTCATTCAGAATCCTGAATTTGAAAGGAATATTTTAGAATTCTAAGTTGAAGAGAAAGTGCAAAGTATTGATGAGAATGTTGACTAATTAGAACACTCAAATTGATGTTATTGGCATAACTTAGTTCAAATAATTTGGATAAAGATATGTATTAGGCCCCAAAATTCTACTTGTAAAGATGGTTTCTCCAGAAATGCATGCATATATATAGCTAAAAAAAATGTGTACTCATGAAAACACTTTTCAGAATAACACCAAAATAACCCCAAACTGTGGCCCAAAAGTGGACTAAAATACTTATAAAGAGTACAGTAAACAAATAAGTTGTAATATGATCACCTAATAAAATATTAGAGAAATAAATATAAATAGTTTCATTTGCAGGTCATATAGTCAATTCGTCTCACAAATATAATATTAAGCAAAAAAATGTGGTTCAAAACACTACACACACTATTTGATTCCTTACTGGTAAAAGTTAGAATAGTGTTATGTTAGGAGGGATGGGTGGAAATCAGGTGTGTGACTATTACATTTTCTTATTCTGGATGATCATAGTATTTTAAAACTCACTAAGCTTTAAACTTATGTGCATTTACCCATGTGTATACAATACTTTAATAGAAGCTTCAAATCAATGAGAAAACATGAAACTGTCTGATGGAAAAATAGCTTGAGGAAATGAACAGGTATAGCAGAAAAGAAGGGCTGCATATAGTTTAAAAACTTGAAGAGATGTTTAATCTCTTTGCAAATAGAAAAACATACGCATTTAAATTGAAATACCATTTTCATGTTCCAAAATTAAAATTATTAGAAATATGATGGTATACAGTGATGGTAATATGGGAGAAAGGAAACATCCTAGGCAATTTGGCTAAGCTTTTCTGAGAAAGATTTAGGCAATATGCCATTAAAAGATTTAATGTGAACAAATGGGAAATTTGCCCACATAAATAAATGGAAAGATACTCTATTTTTCCTAATTTAATCTGAAAATACCTAAGCCCCTGATATTTTAGAGACATAATTTTCACTGCGATGGTCATAATTTTAAAAGGTTGCATCATCCATTTTTAGTTAACATATATTGTACTAACATCACATATCTATGTAACAGAAAAATAGAGTCAACTCATGTAGGGACAGACATGAAAATGACAAATACATATAGAGATAGAAAGGTATCTTGT
This sequence comes from Homo sapiens, assembly GCF_000001405.40. NCBI lineage: Eukaryota > Metazoa > Chordata > Mammalia > Primates > Hominidae > Homo > Homo sapiens. The sequence continues at coordinate 1,083,255 of NW_025791777.1, forward strand.
GCATTATACTGAGAAAGACAATAGAAATAAACAATTTACATGGGTTGATTTATTTTGATTAAGATATATAAGTGGTTAGATAAATGTTAAATAGGTCAGTATGTAATTACAGAAAATGACAAATTGTTATGTATGGTACATTTGTAGGCATAACACAGACATTACATTTTGGAAAATTGTGTTCTATGCAACAGTGCCAAGTCTAATGAAAGTAAGAGGAAGAGGAATTCAGCCAAAGTACCAACCCCTGTTATCCATTCCTTAAGAAAGGAACTTCTTTATACACTCAAAAGAGGGGATTCTTTTTAAATTTGTTTCCAGAGGGGCATCTGCATACACATACACATACACACACACACACACACACACACACATTTACATTATATTTAAATGTGTGTGCATGATATATATATATACATGTATTTATTTATTTAATATATATGTGTTATCTGGGTCCTATATAGGAACACACACACACACACACACATTTTGAATCAAACACTCTTTCGTATAATTTTGGTGACAAATGTATGCAATAAATGAGAATACTTTAACTTTCCAAAAAGCTATTCAAAAGTATAATTTTCAAATAAAATATATGTTTGTATGACAACAAATGATTTTTTACAAATAATATATTCTGCATTATCAATCTGCCACTGGTTTTTATTAAATAAAAAAACCTGTAAGTTTGTATGCTCTTAAAATACATATAACATTTGTAAGAATAGTTTTTATGTAAAAATAATTATAGTTCACTATAACTATGTTAAAAATAGACATAGCCAGGCAAGTCGCTCATGCCTGTAACCCAGCACTTTGGTAGGCTGAGGCGGGCAGATCACTTGAGGCCAGGAGTTCAAGACCAGTCTGGCCAACATAGCGAAACCCCATCTCTAATAAAAATACAAAAATTAGCCGGGCATGGTGGCCCATACCTTGTAATGCCAGCTACTCAGGAAGCTGTGGCAGGAAGATTGCTGGAACCCGAGAGGCGGAGTCTGCAGTGAGACAAGATCATGCCACTGCACTCCAACCTGGGTAACAGAGTGAGACTCTGTCTCAAAAAAAAAAAAAAAAAAGAAAAGAAAAGAAAAGAGAAAAATAGACACAGATGAAGGGTGTCTTTGATTATGCAAATAGATTACCCATCTTGTACTCACTGTGTTTATTTCAATAAATGATCCACAGAATATGCTACTTTTGATTTATAGTTTTCTTCTCCTTCACCGCTGTGGACTGGGAAAATATTTCTTATTATTTCTGCTGCAGAGTAGCAAAAAATTATGAGCCAGAAGGAAGACCACTACAACAAGCAAAATCTCTGAGTAATCATAAAATGAAGAACTATTTCCTGTTGGGATTCACTGTGACGAATTTGATTTTAAATTCTTGATGTTGGCATTTTATTTTTAAAACTTAGCTTTCTTGCCTATTCTGAAATTGTCAAAAATTCAGAAAAACAATCATGATCATTTGCTTGCTGACCAGTGGAGACCTACTGATTTTTAGGCTGTGAGACTACAGTAATAAATAAATAAAAAAGTTCATACTTCCTTCTATCGAGGGAAATTGAGCATTTTTCTCATAGTCCTAAATCACCAGATCAAGGGATATATGTAATACTTGAGTGTTGACATTTTATTAATTTTTATATTTAACTAGAGCTGTAAAGTTGAAACAAATGGGTCAATGCAGTAGCCCATAAAATATTTTAAAAACACATAAAAGAAATATCACTAAAATTTAAACATAAAAAAAATACAAAAAAACCCTGAGCTATAGGAAGGGAAGTATCCTCTAAATGCCCAAGTTGAAGGTAGTCCTCTTAGAAAGGCACAGTAAGAAGCAGTGTTTGATGGGAACGTGATTTTTCAAGTATTTGAATTTTCAAACTCACCACATTAACTGAGTAAAATGAAAAAAATATATAAACTTCCTCTGAGGCAGAAAAAACATTTGGCATTTTCAAGATAGAATTATAATAAAAATATCTCGCCCCAATAGAATACAAAGAAGCATCCTTAAGCAAATAGAAGGCATCTACGGAAATATCACACTGAAGTTTGAACTAATAAATTATTCATTTAAGATCCAGAAGAAGACAAAGTGTCCTCTTTCACTATTGTTCTCTCTACTGTATGGGAGGAATTAACCAGTGAGACAAATCAAATAAATAAGTAAAACATACACAGTTAAGAAATGAAAAATACAATTCTAAATTTTTAAACAACTCCATTACCTACACATAAACTTCTAGTGACTGTAAAAATCAGCTGCTGGAATAAACTAGTAATTTTAGCCACATCATAGAAAAAATAAGTCAACCCATTAACTTATTTCTATATATTTCCAATGAGCAATTAATGATAAAAATCAAATCCATGTAAAATACTAATAAAAATAAAATATGTATATATGATTTTAACAAATTACATGCAAGATCTCTCTAAATAGGAAACTAGCAAAAGTGTTGGGAGATGTAGGAAAGTTCTAAATAAATGGAGTCGCATACAATAATTGATGGTTTTGATGTGTGTCCCTGCCCAAATCTGGTATGATGTAATCTCCAATGTTAGAGGTGAGGCCTGATGGGAGGTGATTGGATCATGGGGTGGATTTCTCATGAGTGGTTCAGCATCATCCCTCTTGATACTGTTCTCATAATAGTGAGTGAGTGAGTTCTCATGAGATCTGGTCATTTAAAAGTGTGTAGCAGCTTCCCCTTTCACTCTCTTGCTGTTCTGGCCATGTGACGTGCCTGTCCCCCTTTGCTTTCTGCCATGATTGTGCGTTTCCTGAGTCTTCCCAGAAGCTAAGTAGATGCCAGCATCATCCTTCCTGTATAGCCTGCAGAACAGTGGGGCAATTAAACCTCTTTTCTTCATAAATTGTCGAATCTTCTGTATTTCTCTATAGCAATGCCGGAACAAACTAATACAATAATCATGGCTTGAAAGTTCAGTGAATTTTAGTGTGTAAAAGGTTTTGGTTTTTCCAAATTAATCATTCTAGAAATCCTCACCATAATCACAAAAGATATTTTTATATAAATTGACACACTGATTTAAAAATGTACATCAAGAGAGCAAAAACAAATGATAGAAAGCTGAAAAAAAAGTTGGAATACTCACACTTCCTAACACCATGCAATAACTTAAAGCTATAGTCATCGAGAGAATGTGTTATTAGTAGATGGATAAACAATTAGAGTAATGGAATGGAATAGAGTTCACAAATAGATCCATGCTTATATGAATAATATAATATCAAAGATACTGCAGTTATTCAAAGGGGAAAGATAATTTTATTTAACAAAGTGTGCAGAACTACGAGATAAATGTGAAGAAAACAAACCTCAAGTCCTTCCTCACAACAAAAGCGTGAATGAGTTCAAAATTAAAGGAGTCCAAAATATATTATGGAACAATGTGTAAAAGTGAAAGCATAGGCTTCAAATATAAAGCACAGAAAATGTCTTAGTAAACTACATGAAAGCACTTCTTTTTATCCAAACTGTGGATACATTTCTTTTTATTCAGAAAGCAATAATTATATAATGATAAACTACAGAAATGTGTAAATATATTTATACTTTAATGTTTATTTTTAATTACACAATTATATATACTATTTATTATGAATAAGAGCAAGAATATATAAATATAATGTACAACATAGAAACAAGAGAGCTATAAAAACTAACAGATGCTACACAAAAATGATATAATAGCAAATAAGCAAATGAAAAATTTCTTAATATCGTTAGTAATAAAAAATAAAATGAGATAATTATACACATCTACTAGAAAAGCTACTATTTTAAAAATTGTGTTACCAATATTTGGCATAGATGTCAAGAAACCAGACTCTAGAGTTTGCATACATCGACGGTGGGAGTGTAACACAGTACAGCTACTTTGGATAACTAAATCTACCTTACATGTACCAATTCTACCCCTAGGCATTTATCCTAGGGGGGAGAAAAGCATAAGTCTGTAAAAAGGCTTGCACAAGTACCTTTATTCATTATTGTCAAAAACAGACACCATGCAACTGTCCACCAAGAGCGGCGTTCTCAAGTTCAGCACTATTAGCTGTTGAAGTGGCTTAATTCTTTGTTGTGGGGAGCTATCCTTTGTGGAACCCTGGCCTGTGGACACTCTATCCCCTCCTCCACAAACCTCTGATAACCAAAAGTGTCCCCAAACATTGGAAATGTCCCCGGCAGGTAAAATGTCCCTCATTTGAGAACCTCTGGTCAAGAGTTTAGTAAATAAATTATAGTGGTATGTCTATGAAATGAAATAATACGTAACAATAAAAAAAGGTGCTACTTCAACATGCAAGAAATTGTTGAATCTCAAAAATATTATGCTTAAGGAAAAAAGACAAAAAGAATTCATACTCTATAATTCTACTGATATATAATTGTAGAAAATAAAAGCTAATATATGGTAATAAAACCAGATTAGTACTGGATTGACAATGTGTTGAAAGTCAAAAGAAGAGGCTTGAGATCTCTTTCTAGTGTGATGGTTTTACAAGTATATACGTATGTTAATGTTTAAAAATTTCACACCTCAAAAATGTGCAGTATACCAGATGTTAATTATATCTCATAAAGCTATTAAAATTTTATCTCAAAATTATAGCTTTATTGCATTTAGGGCATTATCCAATTTTGAATCTAGTCCAGTTATCATAGCTTAATGCAGTATTATGAAAATAATGCCTATAAAGGTCCAGTTCCTCAAACACCCTTGGAACCAATTTTGTCATCTATATTAGTTACCTTGGGCTGCTATAATGAAGTACCACAAGCTGTGTGTCTTTAAGCAACAGAAATTTCTTCCCTCACAGTTGCGGAGGTCAGAGGTCAGAAAACAAGGTGTCTGCAGGACCAACCTCTCCTCTGGATGCTCTAGGTGAGAATCTTTTCCATGCCTTTCTCTTAGCTTCTGATGTTGCCGTCAGAACTTCAGATGGTGTTCCTTGGCTTCTGTCAATATTAATACATAAATCCTTTTCAGTCTCAGCTTCTCTCTTCACATGGTCCTCTCCACATCCTATCTGTTTCTGTTCCCTCTTCTTATAAAGACAACCCATGTTATTTTAAGTCCCACCTACAGAGATAATTTTAGCTTGATTACATCTGCAAAAACTTTGTGTCCAAATGAGGTTTCATTTACCTTATGTGTATAACTAGGGGTTAGGGCTTGAACATACGGGTTTGGGGAGGGGAACACAGTTCAGACCATGACACTCATTGTTTCACTCATTAATGAGTTAAGGGTGCTTTGATATTATTACATTTGAATGAGAGTGGTCTTTAAAATTACATTTTGTCGTGTAGTTTGTTCCACCCTGATGCTTAAAGGGAGTCACCTGCCTCAGCCAATTAAACTGTGTTGTCTCTGCAGTGCGTTTTATCACAAGAACATGACCTTCAAGCACAAGAACACCTTGTACTCCACCACTAAAAACAGAAATGACATCTACCTTCACTGCTTCCCTATTTCTCTCCATCTTTACTGACTTGGTATTTTGTTGTTGCTGTCATTTCTGGTTGTTGGTCAATTTTCATTTCTGTTCTTATTTTGCTGATAATTCTTATAAATCAGTGCTGAATTTTGTCAAATTATTTTTCTGCATCTCTACAGATGATCATTTTATGTTTTCGTCCCTGTGATAATTTAGTGAATGTCATTGATCAATTTTTAAATAATGAATATCTTTGCATTTAAGATAATATTTTTCACTATTAATGTTATCTCTGAAATGAAAGCTAAACCTAGTCAATAGATATTAGAGGTGCATGATTTTTAAAATTGTATAAAATTAGATAAAAAATACAAAGAAATATATATAATTTTAAAACTATGTAAAAATGTAAATGCCAAATGATAGAGCACTAAATGAAGCTTGTAATATTAAATACAATCTTTAGAAACTCTTTTGCAGTGCAGGAAAAAAATAGAACTGAAAACAAAGCAGAAGAAATCACAGATATAAAATTAAAGAGGATAGAATTAAGCACCGGAGTTCCCACATCTAAAGTGAAAATCTAAGAATTTAAATATCATTCAAATGCAGACTAAAATACAATATAAAATAAAATTTCCTGAGCTAATTTTTAAAATACTGCTTAATTTGTAGGTAAAAATGCAGACTAATTTTCTGACTATATTACTATAAAAACCTTCTACAAATATTTTTTAACTAAAATTATAAGAAAAACATCCGCCATAAACACGTAAGATTAGTATTTTCGTTTCTGAAGTATAAAATGTCTGGATAGACTTGAGCTTGTTGCTTTAGTTTTATATGTGAAGACTGGAAAAATTCTGTTTTGTTTTGAAAAATATTTTGAGCTAAAAATGTTGTATTCCACATTTGTTAGGAATGGAAGTCTTTAAAATATGAAATATTTCCAATTGAAGAAAAATAGTGAAAATGAACTTTATCTGAATAAGATTAATGAAAATTACATGTTGAAAAAGTAAAATAGTTATGTGTACTAACAGTGACTACTAACCCAACAATATAAAATTAAGTAAAAATATTATTACCATGTTAAATACAAATTAAAATTAATTATAAAAAAGTTAAGATCTATGATTAAAGTATTAAAATAAAATGAGACTGTATTCACAAATCTAAAAGCAAATTGGTGAATGACATATTTTTTGAAATAATAAATTCTTTGGCATATTTTATATTTTTTATTATAAATGAAAATTATTTATTTGAAATATTTAAAGGAACAAAATATTTGCAGCTCTATTTTATTGAGAAAGGAATTACAAAACAAAAACAAGGAGCTTTTGTAATTACAAAAGAATATATTAATAATATTATTTAGAAGCACAAAACCAGAAAAGCTTTATATTATTTCTAACAATAAATGTAAACCATCTAATTTTCTGAAAAGGGGTGGAAATAAATATTTAACAAAGAAGATGTTATTCTTAAATTGTAATATGTACATTGCCTAAAAATAAAAAGGTAGTTGAAGATATATTGTGAACAACAAAAAATGAAGAGCTGATAATATTAATGTGCGAAGGAAACTCATAACATATTGTACTAATTATAAATCAGTGTATTGACAAAACCTGAGTCCTCAATTATTATTGACTGTTATTGACATGTTAATGATAGAATATTAAATATAGAATATAATAAAGCAATTTAGAATAAAAAAGAGAAAGCGATAGACATGAATAGAAACAAAATGCAACTGTTCAATATTAAAAGCCTTTCTAAATTGCTTGTGTTTTTCTAGTGACCTGTTTCGCTATGCAGTGTAGGCTCAGGTGTCTAGATTTTAGTTGCAGATAAACACAGGTAGTGTTTTCCAGATCTCAGAATGACCAGTTACATAAAAATAGGCCATAAACCATATATTTCATTCTTACGGTTGACAAACCTCTAATTCACCTGAAAATATTAAAAAGAAAGAAGACAGACGTGACAGTGGTTGGAAGTTGAGGATAAGAAGAAGTTGGCAGAAATAAGCTTTCTTCTTTTGGACAGCAATGCATGATAAAAAAAATTAAACTAAATTCAGTTCATTTCCACTAACTGGGACTTATTTAGAAACTTTAAGAAAGTCTGAAGAATTTCAATTGAGGAGTAAATAAGGGCCAATTTATTTCATAGTGTGGACTCTCAAGACAATATACAACAGTGCTTCTCAAAGTTAAACAGTGTATGAGTGACCTGGAAATGAAGATGCAGATTTAATAGGGCTGGAGAGAAGTCTGAGATTCTCAATTTCTAATGAATTAAATTACAAAGAGGAGAAAATAAGGTTATTGCTTACTTTATATACATTCACAAACACAGGCTAATCAAATAATTGTTTAAAGTATTGCTCTGATAAGAATTAAATTACATAGTTCATAGGAAACATTTTCTTTACATTCGGATTTTATCTATTATTAGAATAATAATAGAATCTTGACTTTATGTAACTCTATGTTCCAAACAACTAGAAACTTTTCGATAGCAATTGTTCACCATTTAATAACATTTTTCCAAGATACCTAATGCACTCAAGGACAAAATAGCTGCCTTCCAGTGATTTCCAATTTATTCAATTTTCAGGCCATCTGTCTGCCCACACAATGACAGATTATAGTTACATTCTTGCCATGCTCTGAACAGCTAAGCCAATTGTTTTCAATCTTTTTTCTTCAGCAACTCCATCTCTTAAAGTACTTCAGAGTAGTTCCTGAAAGGATTCCTCTTTAGTTAAATGGCTATACAGCTCTCCCATCATCCAAAATAATCAGTGGAGAGATAGCAATATTTTTCATTACATTAGGCCAAGTTCCATTGCTTCCTTCATCTTGTAATCTGATCAGAAACACCACTATAGATTCAATAATTGAGTTTAGAGTTTCAGAGAATTTGGGGTCACAGAACATCTATGTCTATTTTGTAAAGATTATTGCATATTACTGAAATAGCTTGTCAAACACTGCAGTCTGCTTAAAGTATCAAAATAGAAATGTTGAATGCTGTGTCTGCACAGAGTTCATTTAAGCAAAGAATCTACTAGGCTCTTAAGTCTGTTAATGCAAATTCCTGAATACAGCTGACCCTCCATACCCCCATTGTGGGTGGATTTAACTAACCATGAATCAAACATATTTGTTAAAAGAAATACCAAAAATAATTTTTAAAAAGAAATACAACAATAAAACAATGCAAATAAAAAACAATCCTTATAACAATTATGTGCATAGCATTTATATTGTATTCAGTATTATTAATGTAAGTAATCTGGAAATGATAGAAAGTATACAAGAGGGTGTGTGTAAGTTATATGCAAATACTAGGCCATTTTATATAAGAAACTTGAGCATCTCTGGCTTTTGCTATGAAGGGATGATGGTGGTAGGATTGGTGGTGGTCCTGGAACAAATCCCCAGCAGGTACCAAGGGGGACTGTAGACCCCAAAGCTGTTTAGGAATGGGTCACAGCAGCAGGACTGAGGCAGGAATGCTCCCCACAGAAAACATCAACCACCTGTTGATTTTTGAATCTGCTCCTCTCAGGCATGCCTTCAAATGCTATAACCTGGAGATTCAACTCATTTTCATGCTGCTAAGTAGGAATAGGTGATTCAATTCCCCAAGAAAGTGACAGAGGTCCCTGAAATATAGATTTAAAGTTACATAGTGTCAAATGCTAGTCATTTTCTTTTTGCTCGATGGTATCCTCTCAGAAAAACCTTTTATAATATTTCTAATTCATTTACCAGATTTATAGAATCATCAAATTGTCTATCCATGTGTTTTTCAAATATTTTGTGAAGTGTCTAGGGTAACAACCTAGTGTTCGAACGTATTTTGTGAAGTGGCTAGGGTAACAACGTAATGTTCGAACTTATGTTCGTATTTAAATACAAATGTATTTTGGTTGAGTGATTACTCAAGGTCACTGAGGAATCCACAAGGTTAACCTCCTGACTCTAGAACCATTGTTATATAGAGATATATAAATAGCTGATTTAATATTATAGGCTTAGCAAAATATTTAATAAATAAGGTCTTAGTAAAACAACACACATGTATTTATCCACTTATTTAATTTTGTTTTTCCATTTCTTCTGAACATAAGTTCCTGAGGACACGGGCCTTTTTTCACAGTTCATTTTTGGATTCCAACATCTAGCCAGTACTTTGCAAAGAGCACTGAATTTGAAAGAAATTTCTCAGTTAATGATTTGAATCATATAAAATATTTAGTAAATTTGAAAACTAGTAACCGTGTAAAGCGATTAAAACAAACATACTAGAGGGTAATAATCCCCCGCCCCTTGCCTTCTTCCTTTACATCCACTTCATTCCTATTCTTGTCTACTTCCCCTGCCCCACCCAGGGAACGTGGTTAGCCCATCAACTGCAAAGACTGTTCTCATATAATATTGTTCTGATGGATAATGAGACTCTGAAAGTGGAACATAAACAGATAAAACAAAAACAAACAGAAAAGAACCCAAAAACCTAAACTCAACTTCAGTTAAAGCAGAAAATATCTGTCCAGCCTAAACCAGGCATACTCCACAGACTTCTGTTAGACGCCTGATCCTACTTCAGTCTGGAACCACCTAGTCTTCAGGTTTGCCTGGTGCTCACCAGCTGAAGAAATCCTTTAACGACCTTTATTCAGTCAAGTAAATCGTTTTCTTTTGGCAACTTGCATGTTATTTTTTAGGTTTTCATTTATTTATTTTTTTATATTTAAAGTCATATTTTCTTCCTTTTATTCACTTTGCTGGTCTTTCTCACTTTGATTTTTTTTTTTTTTTGCCTTGTTTTGCATTTGTTTACTTTAACATTTTTTGTAACTTATCTCTTTTATTTTGGAAATTATTCACATTATCAGTTTTCTTTTGCTAGGCAATTTTGATATTCTAATAAACATTATTAACATAAAATATAAAGTTTACTAACACCAAGCCCAAACAATACAAAGTCTTAGGGCTCTTTAATTGCAATTATTTAAAAATATTTGCTACAAATTGTTCATTATTTTATATTCATGTTGTTTTTCTTATTCCCACAAATCACATATTGTTGGTGTGTTTGTTAAATAAAATTGTGACTGCTTATATATGTTTTTTCACATCCTTTCTTCTTCTAATATTTTGGAATTTACATCCAGTTAATTATCCTTTATTCTATGGTACATACTGTAAAAGTTACTATTCTTGGTAGTAAACTCTCAGTTTTTGGATTGTCTGAAGATGTCTCTATTTTGATCTGCTCTTGAATTCTAAATCTAATTGACATAAAATTCTAGATTTGCCATTATCATTTATTAGCACTTCAAAGATATTCCACAATTTTCTGACTTTCAATATTTTTGTTGGTAAAAATGGTGATTGTTAATTGGCTTGCATATTCTGTTTTGGATATTCCACTGTTTCCTTATAATTTGTTTATTTATAAGGAAACTTATAAACAAATTATAAGGAAACAATAGAATATCCAAAATAAAGAGAATAGTTATGGGTTCGTATAGATAATTCTTCAGAATCTACTAATTTGTGTCTTTCTTCTTTACTTCTGTAAACTTTTCAGCTACTATATATTAGAATATTTCTTAACTTTTTTATATTCATTCTGAAATTTCTTGCTGAAATTTGTTCAGAAGGTGAGTTAACGGAGCTATACATCTTTAGTGTCATGTGCTCTAAATTGCAAAATACATGTATTTTTATTTCAGACAACTTGAGCAACATTTGTGCAAATGTTTTATATACACGGACTTAATTTGGTAAATTTAGGCATGTGGTAGACAAATTTAAAAATGTATAAAAATCGTGGGCAAGCATATGAACATTCTATTTTTGCTACTATAAAAAAATAGCAGACTATCCAACTATTTTATGATACTCAACGATACATCTTACTAAATGGTCACGACTCTTGCCTCTCAGGGTCAGAGTTTGCAATAGTGAAAGCAAGAGAAAGCCACGGAAAAAAAAACAGGGAGAGGGAAAATATTAAGCTCTAGAATATGTACATTGTTTTGCTTGTATAAATTTAGAACATTCAACACATGTTTACAATGAATACATATAAAATACCAATGACATGAGGAGAATTAGAATAGAAATAAATACAAGGATTCTTTCATGATAACTAAAAATATCAGTGAAGGTTTGTACATAAAATTTAGGGATTTTATATTATTACCTAATACAATTCTGGCTATAACATCACTAAAGGATTGTAAACGTCTGCTGGGAAACCTATGGGAAAAAAATGCAAGTGGAACTGGTGTCATACAAACACATTTTCTAATGGGAAGCTTAACTGGTGAAATGTAAGTTGGAAACATTACTCAATTTAGGTCTATGAAAATGTTTTCCCAAATACAATCTTTTCTTGTTTGATAGGAGGTTTTACTGTGATGTATTATTTCTGACAGCCTCTTTTTTTTTTTTTTAAAGGAAACGAGTAGAATTAAGTGAATTGATTATCATATCTAACCTGTAAGTACAAATTACTTTCCCTTGGAATTACATAATTGATAATTGTACATCCTCAGATGTGTTTGAATCTGAGATTTACTCTAAACTCAGAGAAAAAAAAGTGAAATTTTGTTTCCATTGTGGCACCTTTGTTTCCTTTTTAAGTTTTCAAAATTTCTTAAAAATTATTTTTCCCTTTCATAATTTATTCAACAAGTATCTATTGTTAGGTGTTGGGAACACAAGACCTAAAACTCCTGACAAATATATTCTATTTATGAGGTCAATTTGTACATTAATAAATGCATATATAATACCAGACAAGATTGTAATGCTAACCAGTTTGACTTTGAGGCACGGTATTCAGAATGTAAATGCCCCTGGAAAAAACATTGAATATAAATGCCCCTGGAGAAAGAATGTAGTTGGAAAAAACATTCTGAGGTAAAATTATGCAATATTGGTATGACTAATTAGAGTGACCAGAGGTTCACACATTTTTGTGACATGCCATTGGTAGAAAAAGAGCCATAGCTGAAAAAATATGGCAGTCATAAGATGTCAGTGGAAATGAAGACAAGGATACCTTTTGGTCAATTTTCTTGAAAATATTGGCTTTTTCAACAGTGTAGTTTATTTAAAATTTAGTCCCAGTTCTTAGCAATTATTTATATACTGATGGACTTATATCCAGGGTCTTCTTGAATTAAAAAAAGTCAAAAAATAATTTTATAAATTTAAAATATTATAAAATTATGATATATACAATTCTTGCTCTCTCTGTCATATTTTTCCAATTTTTTGTCTGTCTTGTTTTTTCTTGCCTTTTCTTCCCTGTCCTTTCCCTTTCGTTTCTTTTCTTTTTGTTTCCTTTGTCTGGCCTTGCTTTGAGTTTCTTTTCCAAACGAATTCACTGGAGGTGGTATTTTTATGCATAATATACACAGCAAATGTCTAGGGCCTCTCATTTTTTACAAATCTTTGTAAGAAAAGGCTATCTATTAACCCAATGACATTGTCATAACCTTTTCTAAATTTCAATGATATTCAGTTTCTCACAGCTATTACATTACAAAGTATACCTCAGTAAAAATCTAGTAGGTCATAGGGCTGATGTTGCTGATTGCTCACTTGCTCAAGCCAGAAGCTTAGAATACATGCTTGATTCTTCACTTTCCTGTGGGTTTATGCCAAATCAATTTCAAATCTATAGATCTTATCCTCTAAATAACATACAGCATGCCTACTTTTTTCTCTCTCTCGACTACTGTCACATTAATTCAAAAGAAAAAGACTGATGATTCCTAACTTCCTGGCTTCAGTAATTGGCAACGATGACATCACTACTAAGGCTTCACTTCTCACCTCTGCTTCCATATGAGTGTAATGTTATTTTCTCCTATGACAGATAAGTTTATTTTTCACCATTAAAAGGTAAGAAACTCACGCATAACCAAAGTTGGAGGAGACAGTTATTTTTTTTCCCCAGCTTGCCTGTTAAAACCATAAGGAATGATTAATCTGCCATGGTGCTTGATGTGGCCCAGGGATGTGCTCAGACTCAGTCATGTAGGGGCAGGTGGTATTAACATTAGTTCAAACATGGAACCATGGCATGTGTTAGAAATAATGGCTTATATTAGAAACCGGACATAAAATTGTCGTGAGCAAGAAAGTTACCTCAATTTGAGTCTACTAGAAGTTTCAGAGTGCCATTTCACATGGCCACAAAGTTCAAAAGTTCCAAAAGAAGCAAAAGTTTGACCAAGAAATCAGTGATTTTTTAAAAAAGAGAAATTGAGCTCAATCATGTTTTTTATATCTTCTACTGTACTAAAAGTTTTTTTCTCAATAATTGACTAAAAGTTCATTAACTACTGCACAGACTTCAATATTTAGAAATGTAATACGGGCTTGCTAACTAAAAGTGAAGTTATTTTATTGTCGGAACTAGCTATTGTTAGAAAGACTCATTTGCTTTTTATAATACAATTTTACATATGATTTATAGATTTACAGATTATAACAATTTATAGATTATTACCTCATTAATTTATTGAATAACCTGACTAAATTACTTAGTCACTGAATTAAATACAACCCAGCCTTAATACTTTGGGTCAAGGAACATTGACCAAATATGTATTTATGCCACAGATTCCTTGAAATTTCTTACCAAAGTAAATTGTTTCATGAAAAATACAGAAATAAATTGGTAACTAAATAAAACATGTTCTATATTTCAACTTGAAAAATTAAAGAAATTAATAATTCTTAAAATCAAAGCAATGATCATTTGTTTCCTAATTATTATTATTGTGAATGTACTTAAAATTTTTGCTATGCTTTTAAGAAAGATGTACTTCTATTAAAAATTATTAAAATAAACAGCAGAGAGACTGACTTTTCAAAATAGTTTATCTGGGAAGAGCAATGAACTGCAATTTGGGATATGTGTACCGTACTGAACCATAGGCACATTTGAAAAAGCTGGGGGAGCCGAAGCTTTTTTAAGGGTAAAAGGTGAAGTTCCCCATCAAACTACCGTTGGCATTCTTCACAGAATTAGAAAAACCTATTTGAAATTTCATATGGAATCAAAGAAGACCCCATATAGCCAAGACAATCCTAAGCATAAAGAACAAAACTGGAGGCATCACACTACCTGACTTCATTACTGCAGGGCCTCAGTAACCAAAACAGCATGGAACTGGTACCAAAACACACATATAGACCAATGAAGGTGAACATAGACCTCAGAAATACACCACACGTCTACAACCACCTGATCTTCAACAAACCTGACAAAAACAAGCAATGGGAAAGGATCTCATATTCAGTAATAATGTGGGAAATCTGGCTAGCCATATGCAGGAAACTGAAACTGGACCCCTTCCTTACACCTTATACAAAAATTAACTCAAGATGGATTAAAGACTTAAATGTAAAACCCCAAACCGTAAAAACCCTAGAAGAAAACCTAGGCAACAACATTCAGGACATAGGCATGGTGGGCAAAGACTTCATGACAAAAATGCCAAAAGCAATTGCAACAAAAGCCAAAATTGACAATGGGATCTAATTAAACTAAAGAGCTTCTGCACAGCAAAAAAAAAAAAAAAAAAAAACTATCATCAAAGTGAACAAGCAACCTACAGACTGGGAAAAAATTTTTGCAATCTACCCATCTGACAATGATCGAATATCCAGAATTTACAAGGGACTTAAACATGCTTACAAGAAAAAGACAAACAACGCTATCAAAAAGTGGGCAAAGGATATGAACAGACACGTCTCAAAAAAAGACATTTACGTGGCCAAAAAACATACAAAAGAAGCTCAACATCACTGATCACCAGAGAAATGCAAATCAAAACCACAATGAGATGCCATTTCACGCCAATTAGAATGGAGATTATTAAAAAGTCAGGAAACAATAAATACTGGAGAGGATGTGGAGAAATGGGAATGCTCTTACACTGTTGGTGGGAAAGTGAATTAATTCAACCATTGTGGAAGACAGTATGGGCATTCCTCAAGGATCTAGAACTAGAAATACCTTTTGACCCAGCAATCCCATTACTAGGTATATACCCAAAGGAATATAAATCATTCTACTGTAAGGGAACATACGTGTATATATTTATTGCAGCACTATTTACAATAGCAAAGACATGGACCCAACCCAAATGCCCATCACTGATAGACTGGATAAAGAAAATGTGGTACACATACACCATGGAATACTATGCAGCTATAAAAAAGGAATGAGAGCATGTCCTTTGCAGAAACATGGATGAAACTGGAAGCCATCATCCTCAGCAAACTAACACAGGAACAGAAAACCAAATACCGCATGTTCTTATTCGTAAGTGGGATTCGAACATTGAGAACAAATGGACACAGAGAAGGAAACAACACACGCTGGGGCCTGTTGGAGGTTGGGGGGTGAGGGGAGGGAACTTAGATGATAGGTTGAAAAGTGTAGCAAACCACCATGGCATACGTATACCTATGTAACAAACCTGCACGTTCTGCACATATATCACTTTTGTTTGTTTTTTGAAGAAGAAGAAGAAATAAAGAAAAAAAAAGGTGAAGTTCATGTAAATTATTTTAAAATAAACCTCTTTGGCCCCAGAAGCTTATTGCTTGGTATGGACAAATACTCATCGGTGATACTGGCTATTGCTGGGAAGATGTCTTCATAGAAGCGTCGTATCTAAAATTTTTGTAGTTTTCAGGGAGTCCTTGCAATAGTTCTTTTAGAGACATCCATGCATGAAGGGCCTTCTTTTATACTCTCCCAGCTCCATTTTGTTGTGGTTTGACTTCAGTGAGTCAACTTCTTTGCTTGTAACTTTAACATTTCCCCCCTTTGACCAAGAATTTTTTCTGAAAGCATTGCTGATTAATCAGCCTATAGTTAGGTTTTGATTGTTTCTTGGTGCTGGAGTGGACCTTTCCTAGTTAGTCTGATCCTGCATCAGAGGTGAATGGCCAGCAACTAAGAGCAGATGTCAAAACCCTTTTAGTCACATTTAAGAAACAAAGAGGTTCAGAAGGAGTGGCTCTCAGGATAAATCTGCCTGGAGTTCATTGCTAAGTTCAATTTTGTCAGTTCCATAGGCATTGACTACCATTTGGAAGTTCTGGACCAGTGTTATTCTGTTAGATGCATCATTTCTGCAGAGGTTGGACAGGAAACAGATAAAAAGTTTAAAAAGAATGATGCGGTACAAAATTAATAGTAACATGAAATATTGTCTATGAACATGGACCCAAAGGCAGCCAACTAATGAATCAAAAGTCTACGTGAGACTGAGTGAGATCTGTTGTAGCCATAAAGCCTGTCTTGCTATTTTATGCAATTAGGTCTTGACTTCCCCAGAGAAATATATTCAGGTACAGCATGTAGTTATTAGCAATGGCACAGACATTCTTGTTCAACCAGTAGATAATTGAGAGTTATCTCATCCTGTCCTGTTGTGTTATCTACGGCTACTCAGCAAGATACTTTAATGAGCACTGCTGGGCGGCAATAGCCTTTGCAGTGAAGCCTGCAACGAAACCCAAGGTGGCAAATAAATTAGGGATGTTGCCATAGTTACCCACTGGGTGGACTAAAGGATCCCTTAGGTCATGTAAAGATGTGGGTTTGACACGACAGATCCAAAACTTCATTCAGTTACGGAAGCTACTGAATGTGAAATTCTAACCACAGCGTTATTCTGCCAAGTGAAAAATGTAGGCATAAGCAAGAAAAAAAAAAATAAGAAGGATAAGAGTCCAGTTTTGTTACAATGTCTTGGGAAAAGCTTTCCACACTGTGATGTCATCAACTTCTTACTCTGGTTTGTAGTTTGAATGTTCCTGGGTATAGCATGGGGCATTTTAGTCAATTCTCTTTGTAGCCCACACAATAGCCATGAGATTTCTCTCTTGAAATTTACATGGAGTTTTCTGGCTCCAACTTATAGGACTTTAGGAACAAGGCAGTTTATGTTCTTAGTTGGAGAATCGTAGCCAGACGTTGGAGGAAATTAGAATAATTAAGTGCCCTGTCTAATTTAGAGATAGATGACAAAAACTTGAAAACAACAAAGAAAACTACAATCTACTAACAGGTGTACTGCAGTTTTTCTTCAGAAACATAATTTTTCTCTGTACAATCATCCCTATTTCTACTAAAGATAATCAGAGTAAGACTAATTTGTCTGCTGAATAAGTTTAGTCTCATTAAACTTGGCATGATTATTGACAACAGTATAGCAAGAAAAGGGATGAAACATGGGCTGTTTTTAAGTTTATTTTGACGGAACTTTTGATAAGAAATCTCAGATTAGACTTTTAAAAGCCTTTCAAGGGTCAGAAGTCAAAGGAGGGCGAACATCAGACTTTGGCTGCAGTATCTAAAAATCTGCATGAATTTCTCTCTTCTTGAGGTCTCCAATATATCTGGAGGTTCCTGGCCTGTCAAGAGGTAAAAATGTTTATTCACTCACTGTGAGCTTGGGAATCCTTGAAGCTAGGCATCCTGTGCATAGTCTCAAATATCACATTCAAGTCAAACCATTTATAATATAACCAATGTTTGTAATTCTATCCTGTTACAAAGAGAATAGATTTTTATTGAATTAATGCAAATAACTATGTTGCCATAAAATAAAAATATCAATAAGAGCTCTCTGAAGACTGCAGCCGCAGGTAGGAAGAAAAAATAAATATTTCCATTTTTATTTATAAAAGTATACTTTACCAAATTGCTGTATGCTATAGATAGCTTTTTAAAAGTTTTCTCAAATCTGGAAAACAAAAAATTTAAAAAAAACAGCAAAATGTTAAACAAAAAGTCACTCGAAAATATTGCCATCAGTTTGTTTAGTCCCATTCATTAAACTTATTCTACTTGATCTGGGTTAGATGTTTTAAGAAGCCATCGTTTCTTCATTAGAGTCCTGGAAATTCTTTCCCAGTCCAGTGGTATAATCTTAAACTCATAAGAAATCTAAATTCCAGCATACTTGTTAGAGTCCTTTTCATGAACCTCCTTGAAGAGGAAGTATTTTTCTTTATTCATTTTAATTTATTCTCTACAATACTTCATTAGGGAGTTCAATGATTTGCACTCAGAAGTTAAATAGCCAAGAGGCAAGCAAGTATAATAAACTTCAGAATTGGACTGAGGTTGTTGCACTGAAGGCCATGTAGTCTTTTGCTTCAGGGAAATAACAACAAAAATAACCAAAATGAACACATAGCTCCCTAGGCTTCTGAATCTCAATAGAGAATAACATCAACATTTAATGAAATTGTAGATATTAACACATCATGGGAAAAAAGATACTGTGCAAAATATTATAATTAACACTTGGCACTTCTTATGTCTAGATTTTTATTATAAACAATAAAATATATGTAATATCTTAACTACAGACCTTTCATGTTGAAAGGGCATCTAACATAACTTGTTTTAACATTATGAAGGGAAAAAGTTTAGAAATTTCAAAGTGGAAACAATCCAACACTAACAAACTATAGTGATCAAAAGTATTAACTTTTAAAGAAAAACAAGGACAATTCATAAAAGTAGAACTACCATTTGATCCAGCAATCTTACTGGTTATCTACCCAGAGGAAAAGAAGTCATTACACAAAAAAGATACTTGCACATGCACGTTTATAACAGCACAATTAGCAATTGCAAAAATGTGGAACCAGCCTAAATGCCCGTGAATCAATGAGTGAATAAACTGTGGTATATATTTATGTGTGTGTGTGTGTGTGTGTGTGTGTGTGTGTGTGTGTGTATGTATATGTATATATATATGCATATGTATATATATATATATATGCATAAATACATATATGTGATGGAATACTACTCAGCCATAAAAAGGAATGAATTAATGGCATTCATAATAACCTGGATGGAATTGGAGACTATTATTCTAAGTGAAGTATCTCAGGAATGGAAAACCAAACATTGCATGTTCTCACTCTTAAGTGGGAGCTAAGCTATGAAGATGCAAAGGCATAAGAATGATACAGTGGACTTTGGGGACTCAAGGGAAAGAGTGGGAAAGGCATGAGGGGTAAAAGACTACAAATTGAGTTCAGTGTATACTGCTCGGGTGATGTGTGCACCAAAATCTCACAAATCACCACTAAAGAACTTACTCATGTAACCAAATACCTCATGTTCTCCAAAAACCTATGGAAATAAAAAATTTAAAAAATTACAGAAAGGGAATGTATTATGAGACAAGCCACGTTTATAGACCAAAGCATGCTCATAGCTAGGGATGAAACAAACCACAAACCAAGCCAGCAAAGTTGGGTTGATTCCTTGAAAAGAATGGTTACCTATTGTCCAGATTGAGTAGCCCAAAGACAGAGGAAACACTGAGCGTAAAACATTCCCTTTTTTTAAATTAGCCGGGCGTAGTGGCGGGCGCCTGTAGTCCCAGCTACTTGGGAGGCTGAGGCAGGAGAATGGCGTGAACCTGGGAGGCGGAGCTTGCAGTGAGCCGAGATCCCGCCACTGCACTCCAGCCTGGGCGACAGAGCGAGACTCCGTCTCAAAAAAAAAAAAAAAAAAAAAAAAAAAAAAAAAAAAAAAACATTCCCTTTTTTGTAAACCTACCACTCACACCACATGCACTGATCACTCTCATCACTGCTTTGGTAAAGCATGTAGGATGCAGTTCAGTTTCAATTTGGAGCTGTTACCTCCCCAGGCAAAGCTGCCACACAGATGATCCAGGCTTGGTGTTTTTCCTGAGAGCCACCTGCCACACATTTTCATAAGGTGACCATGACTATGCACATCCAGGCTACTTCCTGACTAGGCCCTGTTCAGGAAGCATCCTGAGGTGTCCATTCCTCGTGGAGCCAAATAGTTCCCTTGGTTGACTCCTGAGTCCCCTTGGCAAGCCAAGCAGAATTCAAGCATTTCTACTGCTAGCCTTGTGTGGGAGCATGAGCGAATGTAAAGGGAGCAAGGCTCTTCACTCCATAAACCACAGCCTACTTCGGGGTGGTGCTGGACCAGCCCTATTCTTGGGTACTGAATTTCTTTTTCTCATTTGTTGGGATTTTAAATTTTCTATTTATTTTCTTAAATGGCAGGTATCCTACTGCATCTTCAATAAAATAAAATATATACATATATATGTTGTACACTGGAGAAAACAAATAGGGGAACAGTTTGATAGTTTAGCCCCATTTTTTGCTTTTATTTAACCTTTAGAAGTAAAACACAATTATTAAAACAGAATGCTTGAGCAGTAATAAGCGTAGCCCTATGTATCAATATTATTGTACAAATTGGATGTGGGTGCTTAACCCAGAGCTGACCACCCTGATAATAATCCAGAAAAAAACCATTGTTACATCTGTTTGTAACAAGACATTTATTATTCTCAGCACCAGGACATCATAAAATGACTCCTTGATCTTCATTTACTTCACCAAGGGAAACGTGGCAGGCTACAGAAACTCAGCACAGCAGTTAGTGGGGCTGTGCCCTGGGTGCCCTGATGTCACCCACATTTCCCTTGCACGTCTCAGGTCCTAATAAGCAGTGCAGGACAATGTTGAGCCAACCTACTCACCCGTGCCCATTCCTTCCCAGAAACTTAAAGGTGATCCCTATAATAGCACATATGTCCTTTCCCAAATTGTGTCTTTGCTCCCCTAACCCCATTCTTGGCAGAAGAAAAAACAAAACATCTCTTGACTTGAATATTTGCTTATTTTAGAAACCGACACAATCACCATAAACTTAAAAAAAAAAATAAATCAAAATGTTGTTTTCACTGGGTTGACACCTATCTGCTTCAAGAATTCTCTAAGCATGTTGTTGAAAACCAGTGTAACATCTTTAGGATCTTTCTCCCAACTGACCAGTCTTCCTGTGAATCATTTCAGCAGTTCCTTTGTGGCAATGTTTACAAAGCATCTTCTAAGTCCTCTAATTCTATGAGCTTTGCTATCAAAATAGTGAAGAATAGGAAAGGGGGAGGAAAAAACTAGCTGACAGCTGTTTGGAAATCAGCAACAATGTGAAAGAGAAATGTATCTCATGAAAGTTTGAAAGACATGGAATAAATGAGCTCCTTGGAAATTTGCCCTGGCGGAGTGAAGATTCCCACTTTATCTTCTTAGGCAAGATAAAGATCCACCTTATGTAATTACACAGCTTTGTTTAAGCATCCTGTAAAAGACTGAAAAATCAACTGTCTTCCTAACTCTACAGGCAAACTAGAAAAAGGATCTCCCTGCTTACTGGTCCCTCAGGATGTTTTCCTGAAAAGAAAACCAGCTTAGAGATACTGGATTTTCTTCTATGACAAAGTGTCCTCTTAAAGTCCAACCGAAACTTGTTTGCACACTTACACTTCTGAAAGCCTAGGTCCGACTATAGGGCTGATACCGGGAGAGAAGTGAAGTAGCTGGGTGGTGAGGAAGTGGTCTCTCCTTTCACATCTCTGTGCAGTCATGATATCAAGACCCCTTGTGGACATCTCTATTCCATTCCTCAGTCAGTGACACCACAGAGCTCTGTTTGATACCGGGAGACTTAATGCAGTAAAAGTGACAGAAAGTGCAACTGATAGTAGGATGAAAATTATAATCTTCAAGGATTAGTGAGCCATGAGATCTGCAATGCTATCGTAGGGTTTCTGATCCTGATGTGGGTCTCTGTCCAGGATCCTTGAAGAAATTATGGCACCCACATCCAACCCTAACATAGCTTCCACTTATGAAACAAGGAGGTTGTAATCAACTCTTGGTATGTAATAAACTGGAAGTTCAAAAATGTAATTTAAAACAATCTAAAAGAATGTAGTGTTGGTCTCCATTGCACAGACTGCTAGGGGAATATATCAACTTGATTTGGGGAGGCTGTAGAGGTATATAGAGGAGTATATGGGTTAAACCTTAATGGGTCATCAGTTTCAGAGAAGAAGCAATTTTTTATTGTAGCTGATGGCAAATGCTTTTGGAAAAGAATGAAAGCAGTCGGTCCCTGTGGATGACAGACTTAGAGTGGCCATGGTTAAAAATCTCATGGAGTTTATTATAATAATAATGTAATTGACAAAGAAATTTGTTTATTTCTGTGGCATACAAAACTTGAAGATAATAACCAAGATTATGACCGATAACATATCAGATTTTGAAGAATTCAATATAATTTTGTAACACATATCAATAACATTCTGAAATACAACTTAAAGAAGGTTTAGCACCACTTAGTATTTGACAATACTCCCTATATAATTTAATATATCAAGTAAGTCTCATTAGTTTAATATATCTCTTTACAATGTGAGATACACATTCTTTGATCTTTCCAGGGGTCCAAATGAGAAATATCAAAATTAACTTGAGGGCAAAAAGAGTTAATTTAAAATATTATTTTGGGAAGTTTGTCAAAAACATCAAACAGTTTAAAACACTTTATCAGAGTACGATAACAGGTAACCAAAATGAAAATTAAAAGATTTCAAAAAATAAATGTAGAAATTTACATAATTGTCAACAAAAACATAGCTTTTTAATACTGAGAACATTTACTTTTCTCTTTTTTTAACTTTTATTTTAGGTTCAGGGGTACACATGTGGGTTACTTACGCATTTATATGGGTAAATTGTGTGTCACGGGGTTTGGTGTATAGATTATTTCATAACCCAGATAATAAGCATAGTACCCAGTAGGTAATTTTTAAATTTTCATCCTCCTTCCTCCCTCCACTCTAAAGTAGGCCCAGTGTCTGTTGTTCCATTTGTGTCCATATGTACTCAATGTTTAGCTCCCCTTATAAGTGAGAACATATGGTATTGGGTTTTCTAGGATAATGGCCTCCAGCTCCACTCATGTTGCTGGAAAAGAGATGATCTCATTCTTTTTATGGCTGCATAGTATTCCATGTTGTATATCTACCACATTTCTTCATCCAGTCTACCACTGATGGGCATTTAGGTTGATTCCATGTCTTTGCTATTGTGAAAAGTGCTGCAATGAACATACACGTGCATGTGTCTTTATGGTAGAATGATTTGTATTTCTTTTGGTATATACTCAATAGTAGGATTGATGAGTTGAATGGCACTTCTGCTTTGAGTTCTTTGAGAAATGGCCACACTGCTTTCCACAATGGCTGAACTACCTTACATTCCCACCATCACTGTATAATCATTCCCTTTTCTCCACAACCTCACTAGCATCTCTTATTTTTTGAGTTTTTAATAATAGCCATTCTCATTGGTGTGAGATGGTATCTCATTGTGGTTTTGATTTGCATTTCTCTAATGATTAGTGATGTTGAGCATTTTGTCATATGCTTTCTGGCCACATGTATGCCCTCCTTTGAAAGTGTCCGTTCATGTACTTTGTGTACGTTTAAATGGGATTGTTTGTTTTTCACTTGT
This sequence comes from Homo sapiens, assembly GCF_000001405.40. Lineage (NCBI taxonomy): Eukaryota > Metazoa > Chordata > Mammalia > Primates > Hominidae > Homo > Homo sapiens. The sequence goes on from NW_025791777.1 coordinate 1,107,191, forward strand.
TGATTTTTTTAAGTTCACCAGATGCACTGTGCTGGGGTTCTGTGATAGTCCCTAATTGCTGTGCACCCTCCCAAGCCTGAGAGCAGCAGGAGGGAGGGTTGCGAGACAGCAAAAAGGTGGACTGCCTCTCTCTTTGGGAGCTGCATGCCGGAGAAGTGTAGAGCTGCTCCCAGCTGGAGAACTCAGGAGGACTAGGGTGGCCTCACTAGCATCCCAGGCTAGTGGGCCTTATCCTACAAGGTTCAGTGGTGGTGAGGTCTGCAGTCTATCACTGCTCAGCCCCATGGACTTGGCCCCTTTTCTGGGGAGCGTGCAAGAAAACTTGGCCTTCCCAATTGCTGGAGCTGCAGCCCCTGGTTTTGGGGTACCCAGGGAACAAATGCTACTGGGACTCCACACCTACCTAAGAAGCAGCTCTACCCAGACTCCACATGGCTCTCTGTTTTGGTCTGGAGACCCCAGCTGGGGTATCTCCTGAGCCCAGGGATTCAAAGGTTCGTGGCAGAAATATGCATCCCACGGGACTCTCACTCACTCACCATTTTCTTGTAGGGGGATTCCCCTGGGTCTGTGCCACTCCTGGGTGAATGGCTGATCTGTCTCACTCTTCTCCGTGATCCGAAGGTCACACTATGTCACTGATGAATCCTTATGTGTCCACCTGGATGTTCCGGTTGAAGAGCTAGTGTCTCACCACTCTTTCTGCTATTTGTGAGAGTGGCACACACTAGCTGCTTCTAGTCAACCATCTTGGCCCCACCTCACTCACTTTTCTCAAGTAATCAAAGACCTAGTAAAAGAGAGCATAAAGCATAAGAAATTACCTTGATAAACAAAAAATCTTGGTTTATTAGGCCAGTTATCTAAAAGGTAGAGAAAACATTTCACTATTTTCTATTAAGAGCAGGTCAATACTCAAAGAAAAGCTTGTTGTTTCAGCACAGGGGACAAATTTCAAGTTTTCCATTCCTGTACTTTTGATAATAATGCTCAAGTTTTCAGAATATTTATAAATAATTTCCTTTTAACTTTAGCCAACTTGGTCACACATAAAATTCTTTTCACAAGATTAATCTTCCACAAACTTTCTATAAATTTGTCATCCAGTTATCTTATTCAGTTTTTGTCTATATTTTTTCTCTTTTTCTTTTTGGAACAGTAAGACATTCTACTTTTAGACAAAAAATACTCTCTTTTTCCCTTAACAAAAACACAACCTCTTACTTATAACTTTCTTTATGTGTTTTCCTTCCCTCGCGTACAGATTTGTTTCCCTTCATTATTTCTAGTTTAAATTACTCTAATATTAATTTTAATTAACTCTTAGTAACCTTAATTTCTAGTGAAAATTAGTAAGCATTTTGAAGTGCATCATGTTAGTATTTTGCAGATGAACACCATCTCATAAAATAATTTTTATGCCTTTAATTAACAGGCCCAAATATGTTTAGCTTTTCCATAACATGTGAAACCAAGATGCCAAATTACGTATATTTTAAACTTCTGTTAAGCAATTGATATTTCAGTATTTTCCTTAGAAATGACTCAAATATTAAATCAGTAAAGTGTTACTTAATTTAATATAACATGATTTTAAGATTTCAAGTCACACTAAATTATTTTTGAAATTCTGACAACTTTATTATCAACCTTTTGTCAATGTATATTCACCTAATTCACTTGTTCTTAACAATTGTGCTTCAGTTCCTCCTTAAACACAACGATGAGTGGATTTATAGCTTTAAGACATTCATTATACATCTCAGTAATAGCAAGCTTGTTTCACCAGTAACTTTAGGTTTAAAAACTGTATCTGTACATTGTAATTAATGCTGACAATTCTGAAAATATTTGTTTTTATTTTGCCAACAAATTTTAAAACTAGCTTTGTCTGCCAAAGATTATTTCATCACATAAGCCAAAAGGCAATTGAGTTTCTGTTTTTCTGAGAGAATTCTTAGTTTAAACACTTATGTTTTCTCTGTAAGCCAATTAAGTAGAGCCGTTTATGAATTTTGGTAGAAAAAATTGTACATACGCACACACACACACACACACGTAGAAAAATACAGACAGAGGAAGAACTTACAACTTGCATTAAGAATTGTTATTTGCCTGGCTTGCAAGTAGTTTTACTCCCTCTTTCAGACTATCTGTCTTTTAATGATCTGTTCAATTGGCCCATAAACAAGTGTTAGTTAGGCCACCCAAAATTTGTACTTCCAAAGAGATGATTTTTAGGTGAAGGAATGTAGAAAATTTAAATCTCAAAGGTACAGAACTTAAACACCACTATTTGTTGAGATGAAAAAAAGCATATATAGGAAGCCTTCAAAATGAAATGGTCAAGGGTGAGTTTACACAGATAGATAGATTTAGGTCTCTTCCTTTTGCTTTGTGAAAGCATCTAGTGTTTAGGTGTCAGAGAGGGAGATATCCTTACAAAGCAGAGATTATCATTACAGGTTTACATTTCTTACAAAGAGTTTCAAAATAAACAGGTAAATGCCAAAAACATATATTTTGGAGACGGATTAATTCACTAGTTGGTCTATTCAACTTAACTTGTTTCCTAATGAGATTAAATTCATGCACAAATAACCAAACCAAAAATTAAACCAAAAGAATACTCACCAGAAAGGATGTCCTTTACAAGAGCAGATCCCCCAAAATGTAAGAGTTCACTGAAAAGGTGGGAGCTCAAACCAAGAGAGGACTTATCTCGCAGCATAAAGACAACTTGTACAAGTGAAGATCACAATAGGCTCAGGTGAGTATCATACACAATTTCAAGTATCGCCAGATACTTGAAAGCCTTCCAAAGGCTTTCTTTGTTACTGTTTGGATAACAGTGCTGTAACTGTAAGTAACAAAGAAGGCTTGGAGCCTTTGCATCTTGCTTCTGACATTAGATTATGTCAACTTAAACAACAGAGATACTGACTCTCTAAAATAAAGAGTGGAGTGTATTCAGGAAATAGCAGTAAATTGCAATTTGAAATACACATGCTATGGTGGACCTTAGGCACCAAAGAAGCTGAGGGACTGTATTAGTTTGTTCTAGCACAAAGAACTACCTGAGACTTGGTAATTTATGAAGAAAAGAGGTTTAATTGACTCATGATTTCATAGGCTGTACAGGAAACATGATTGGAGGAGGCCTCAGGAAACTTACAATGATGGCAGAAGGCAAAAAGGAAGGAGGCACGTCTTACATGGCCGAAGCAGGGGGAAGAGGGCAAAGGGGAAATACCACACACTTTTCAACAAGCAGGTCTCATGAGAACTCACTATCACAAGAACAGCAAGGAGGAAATCCACCCCCATGATCCAATCGCCTCTCACCAAGCCCCTCCTCCAACATTGGGGATTACAATTCGACATGAGATTTGGGTGGGGACACAAATCTAAACCATATCAGGAAGGCAAAAATCTTAAAAGAGAAATTTTATGTAAGTTTTGTAATAAACCTCATGGGCCAGAGAAGCTTGTTACAAGAGCTGGCAAATACTCATTGATAATATTGGCTGTTGCTGGAGAGATGTCTTCATAGAATTATCATATCTAACATTTTCGTGGTTTTTGAGAGAACCATTGCAGCAGTTCTTATTATAGACATATGTACATGAAGGCCCCTCTTTCATGGCCTCCCAGCTTCATTTTTTTATGGTTTGATGTAAGTGACTCCATTTTGGTGCTCACAACTTCCACATTTCTCCCTTTTGGTTGAAATATTTTTCTGAAAGCATTTCACACTTAAAAGATATAGATTGGCCGGGCATGCTGGTTCATACCCGTAATCCCAGCACGTTAGGAGGCGGAGGTGGGTGGATCACCTGAGGTTGGGAGTTCGAGACCAGCCTGACAAACATGGAGAAACCCCATTTCTACCAAAAATACAAAATTAGCTGGGCGTGGTGGCACGTGCCTGTAATCCCAGCTACTCAGGAGGCTGAGGCAGGAGAATCACTTGAATCCAAGAGGCAGAGGTTGCAGTGAGCTGAGATCACGCCATTGCACTCCAGCTTGGGCAACAAGAACGAAACTCCATCTCAAAAAACAAAAACAAAAACAAACCAACAAAAAATGAAATAATTGTAAAAACCAACCATAGTTCTCAGTAATGATAGTTTCATTTCCGTCAGCTATTAGTAGAGTTAATTAACTCCTATCAACCTCACATTTTCCATTTAAAAAATACAGGAGAAAAAGTTTGATGTGGGCTTAATGAGAAAACTTATATAAAATAGATCTAACTACTATATTTATCACAAAACAGATGCACAAACTATGTTTTTTTCCTCTCACTTGTTCTTATTTTATATATCATTTTAATTGAGGAAATCATTGAGCATAATGTAACAAATATTTTCATAAGTTATTATAAAGAGGGTTTGAAGGACTTGTTAGAAAGTGTCTGGCAGTGGAAAAAACATCTGAATAGAAAAAGAAAATAGCATGTGAATGCTGAAATAGCGTATTAAATAGCTGCAACTCTAATATAATTTACATTTGGATTTTAGTGTAGACAGAATACTTAAATTTATTTCTGCAGTCTTTTCAGTTGTTAAACATTTTATTGAACTCTTCATGTGCCTTTCAGATGTATTGTGCTTCAAGTGTGCTTGTACCAGCTTTTTCTGTTTAGAAATGCTTGAGTGTCTCCATTGTCAAAACGATCAGAAGGCAGTAATTGTATTTCCAATGTGAGGACAAACAATACTAGATATCCTGCGATCCTACATTGTAAAAAATATTCCCATCAAATGCCCCAATGGATAGCCACGTAAGTGATCATCTGTAATTATTTAGTCAAGAAATGAATATTTTACATGTAAATACTTTGAATGGCTTAATACAAACTAAATTTTTCAGAATGCAACCACTACGGAAATTGAAGAGAAAAAGTCTTTTTATTGTAGAAACTTCCCAGAGTCTTTCAATATTTACAAAAATTATGTTGCCAATGGCAATACCTTAGTTATTTGAATCACCAGTAGAACACACTATAAAAACATGCATTGTCACATCTGTACCCTGTCACATCCAGGATAACGATAATATTGAGATATATAACTATTTAGCCCTTATTTTAAAACATCAGGTAACAAGCATCAATCAATTTCTATCAAATGTTTCAACTTGGGTATTACAGCATAAGCAGAAATATACTGTTACCAATATCCCAGCCAATTTCTTTTCCTAATGAAACAATAAAACTGAGAATATAGAGACCATTTAGTAAAGCTGATATATATATATGTTTGCATATGTGTGTGTGTGTGTGTGTGTGTGTGTATATACATATAAATGTAATTAATACAGTAGATGAGGTCAAAGAAGCAAGTGATACACAACTTTTAATTTGGATGGGATGTCCTTGAAGATTCCTGTATTAGTCCTTTCTCACATTCCTATATGAAAATACCTGAGACTGAGTAATTTATAAAAGAAAGAGGTTTAATTGACTCACAGTTCCCTATGACTGGGGAGGCCTCAGGAAACTTACAATCGTAGTGGAAGGTGAAAGGGAGGCAGGCACTTTCTTCACAAAATGGCAGGAAAAAGAAGGATGGGAGGAGGAACTTGCCGAACAGTTGTAAAACCATTAGATCTCGAGAGAACTCACTCACTGTCATGAGAACAGCTTGGGAGAAACCACCTCCATGATTCAATTACCTCCACCTGGTCTCTCCCTTGACATGTGGGGATTATGGGGTTTACAATTCACCATGAGATTTTGAGTGGGGACACAGCCAAACCATATCAACTCCTAAATCTTAATACACTTTATTACTAGCTGATATGATTTGGATCTGTGTCCCTTACCAAATCTCATGCCGAATTGTAATCCCCAGTGTTGGAGGTGGGGTCTTGTGGGAGGTGACTGGATCATGGGGGCAGATTTCCCCCTTTGATGCTGTATCATGATAGCGTCCTCATGAGATATGGTTGGTGAAAGTGTGTGGCACCTTTTCTCTTCCTCTCAGTCCTGCTTCTGCCTCGCAAGATTCGTGCTTCCACTTTGCCTTCTGCCATGAGTAAAATCTCCCTTTAGCCTCCCCAGAAGCAGATGCTGCTATGCTTCCTGTTCAGCCTGCAGAACTGCGAGCCAATTAAACTTCTTTGCTTTATAAATTACCCCATCTCAAGTGTTTCTTTATAGCAGCAGTGTGAGAACAAGCTAATACACTAGCCTTCTTGAATACATCTTAGCAAGCTCTCGAGCAGCGTAACGACATAGATTAGAGAAGGCCAAAACTGACAGATTCCCATCTTGACCAAAGTTTAATCATTCTTCTCCAGTCCCTCTTCTCAGGCCCAGTTTAACAAAGACGCCTGCTAAGCCAGTTCACTGAGAATCACTTCGCCCTGGATATCTTATCACTTTGGCATGCCTTTAGCAATAATGCAGTTTAGCAAGAACCCCGCTCCCCGCCACCCCACCCCCCGCCACCCTTAATATCTAATTAGTTTCTATCCACTGACTCACTCCCTCAGCTCTTTGCTTATAAATTTCCAGCTCCATGCTGGGAGAAATTTTAGTTCAATCTCTCTCTACTATAGCTATATTATTCCCCCATTGCTATAGTCCTGAATAGTCTTCCTTGCTATTTTTAACAAGCAACCAGTGTACACGTTTCCTTTTGACAAAACATAGTGTCCATATGTAGAGGGAAGAGGAAAGCTAACAAAATATAAAGTCATCCAAACCACACACACCTTGGACAAGCTTATCATGTGTGGGAATAAAATGCTGGAGGTGGGTTTGGCTTCCCCCCCAAAAAAAGTGTGTAGTTTGAAATTTCATATCAAGAACAGTTAAATTCCCAGATTCTTTATCATTACTGAATACCTTAGTAATTATTCTTCATTTAACACAACAGGAAATAGGAGATTTATTTTCTGGAGAGACTTGTCCAATTAAAGTGGGGATATGGTTGCTCCGTTGAGCAGAAATTTGGCTTATATAGACCCAAAGCTCAGAAAAAGAGTTATAGATCTAAAATGACAATCATTGAGACAATAAAGTCCATGGAAACCACGATGGGAAGCATCTACGTGGAAATAAAAAGTTGGATTTTCAGTAGAGAAATTGGTAACAATGTAAATTTCCTCTTAATGTCAGGTGAGAACTAATTCTGAAGTCAGAGGAGGAAAGTAGCCTACAACAAAGAGTAAGATCATCTTGACAGGATCAGGGAGAAAGATAATAGTTGCAAATGGAGACAGGTATATTGATTTAGTGCCAGGTAGTTGAAAGACTATGAGTATAAAGACTTATATTTTCTCTGTGTTGCAGTAGCAAAGTCATCTGCAGAGAGAGAGAAGTGAGAAGGGAGAAGAGAGTGTCAGAAATTAGAGGATTGTAGAGATTGAAAAAGTTATGTCAGGCACAATTGAAAACCCGGTTTCCAATGGTGATCATTGTCTTAAAATATTATCAGTTTGTTTTCTTGCATGGCATTCTTCAGCAGCAGTCATGGACTGAGAAATATGCAGAAATCAGATAGTTGAGTTCATCTAGAGAAGAGGTTGCAATGTGCTTCTAAAAAGGACAAAACCAAAAGCAACCGAGGGAGAGAGAGAGAGAGGGAGAAAGAGAGAGAGAAAAATGAAGATGTGAAAGGGGATAGGTCAAAACTCATTAATTTTTTTTAAGCAAAGGGCCAGATAGTAAATATTTTTATTTTGTGAGCCATATTGTCTCTGTAGGAAGTACTCAGTTCTCCCATGTTCTGCAAAAGCAACCATGGACAATAAGAAAATGTGGCTGCGTTCCAATAAGAATTTATTTAAAAAATAGGTGATGGATTGTATTTAGCCCAAGGGAAGCAGTATGTCAATTCTGGTTTTATGTTACTGGCAATTACATTTTAAAATATTCAGTAATTGAATCTACAATATCGATTCCCAACTATTGCTGCATATTAGTATCATAATAGAATGCCAGGTCCCAGAGACACTGGGTCAGCCAATCTCAATTGGGGCCAAGGCACTCATATGTATCTTTGGAACCTCCTCAGGCAATTCTAACATAAAGCCAGTGTTGAGAAGAGCCATTGTTAGTTTGCTTGTGGGAGTAACTGACCGCAGGAGGATCATAATGCTATAGGCAAAGGCTGAGGCACCAGTGGATTGAAAGTCCTAGTGAGGCAGGAGAACAGCTGCAGTGGGAATTGTTGCCACACTGAACAGACAGGAGATTGATCAAAGAGTGGTGTGCTTATTTAGTCATTTAAGAGGAATATCATGTTTTGTCATTATACATTTCATGGGTTTGGTAAGCAGCCTCTAAAATTGCTCCATGTCACTTGTACCCCTGGTAGAGGTAACTCCTTGAGGAATCTTCTACTCTGTTGTCCTAGTTGAATTTATCTCACTTCACTATCAAATAGACTGTGGCAGAAGTGATGGATATCACTTCCAACATTAGATTGCACAAAGACTGTGGCTTCTGTCTTGGGAATCCTCTCTCTCTCTTTCATTGTAAGGGAAGCTGACTTCTATGTTGGGCGCTGCCTATTAAGAAGTCCACATAGCACGGAGCCAGTGTCACCAGTCACAGCCAGCAAGGAAGGACCTGGGGACTGCCCCCAGCCACATGATTAATCTTAGAAGTGAATCTTCCCTAAGTAAGGCTTTTAAATGATGGCAGCCTTATGAGAGTCCTTGAGCTAGAGGGCCTTACTAATTCTGATATAGTTCTTGACCCAGAGAAGTTGGCATAATGAATGTTTGTTGTTTTAATCCACTAAGTTTTGGAGGTAATATGTTAAGCATCAACAGATAACTAATAAAAGGAGTGATTCTGAGCAAGAAAGGCTTAAGTGGAGGGAAGCTAAGGTCGAATAGTTTATGAATATCATCCTGTAAGAATACAGGGCTTGGAGCTTTGAAGGTGGGAGCAGAAAAAAATTTATGTAAGCTTGTCATTAACAATATGACTAAAAAAGTTCATTATACTGAAGGATAAATGCTTACATGTGCCTCAGAGAATAGATGTTTTTATTCCCGGGAAGAAAGATAAACTTTTTCAAAAAACATAAAGATTAAGTAGGATGCAGTTTCCAGCTTTGGATTCTGACATTCAGGACATGGGGAGGGTGATGAGCTTCTCCTGGAGGACTGAATTTAGGACACAATCAAGTTCATGATGGAAGCCCTTATGAGGTAGAGAGGGAGTGCATCTCAGCTCTTTCGATTAATTAAATGATTGTTTGAATTGGAGAAGGTGTGGGTATTTTGTGTTGTTTGGGTGAGTACATTGGAATGGTTTTCTAGCATTCCTTTGAGATTTTCCACAGTATAAGTTAAGGTAAAAGAACATTTTTACTTGTTTCAGAAAGCATACTGAGGAAGCTTTAATGTTACTATTAAGTAGGTAGGGAAATGACCAATATTATAAACGCAGATTTCCAGCCTCTCCTTTTAATGCTTTCAGAATGATTCCACAAGAACCTTGAAAATGTTGAGTATTTATATTTATTTTATGCCCTTTTATTGTGATTTTTTTAATAAATAACATTTTTTTGGTAAATACTGGAAGTTAATATTCTATAGTTCAGAAAAGCAATTTTGAACACTCAACTAGTGAGCCCATATAAAACTACATAACAGCACAGAATATAGTAAAATAATAATATAATGAACTGGGAGACAAACTAGGCACTGTGTGCCAAGTTTTTCAAGGAAGATACAATTTCAATACCAATGAAATAAACTCCCACAAATTGATTTTTCTTTGTGTGCACTCATCAGTGTAAATACAATTAAGTAATAAAGCCTGTACTTGTTCAGGAAAGATGTTTTCTATTCATAGTCTGATATCTGGGTGCTTTGGTTTCTGATAATTTGTTATGTAAAAACCCTGCAAATTAAAAAAAAAAAAATCAGCAGCTCCAAGTTCATGGGCCCTTATCACAGAGGATTTAAAACCTGTGCATTTTCTTTAAACTGAGAATATTATTACATTTTTTAATCCAGTGATGAGACCATAATAGTTTTCTGAAATAATTCAGAATAATTATATACCTAAAAGTTAATTTGCATGTGCTGTAATTTAAATAAAAGGACAGTTAATTTTTGCATTACAAAACATGAAAAATAAAATCAAACGTTGCATCTTTACTTTTATTACATAAATTCCTTTACATTGTAGTGCCCCCTAGCACCACGCAAGTTTATAAACTGCTTTCAATATTAATTATGTTATTATAATAATAACTAATTTAAGAATGTATTATTAAAGTCAGTAATTTAATAATAATAATTTCAACAATATATGTGTCACAAAAATACCTGAAATTACAATTAGTATGTCCGGTTTACTGATGGGAATACTGTGGCTCAAAAACATCATCTCAGGCAGGGTGTGGTGGCTAACTCATGTAATCCCAGCACTTTGGGGGTCCAAAGCAGGTGGATCGCCTGAGATCAGGAGTTTGAGACCAGCCTGGCCAACATGGTGAAACCTCATCTCTACTAAAGTACAAAACCGGTCCGGCATGGTGGTGCACACCTGTAATCCCAGCTACTCGGGGGGCTGAGGCAGGAGAATCACTTGAACCCATGAGGAGGAGGTTGCAGTGAGCCAAGATCACACCACTGCCCTCTAGTCTGGGTGACAGAGCGAGAGTCCTTCTCAAAAAAAAAAAAAAAAATCATCTCACCCAAATCATGTAGCTACAAAGTTATGGTTTAGAATAATTCAACTATTTTACTGAAATCAAAACTTTTACTATTAACCAATCAGTTACACTCAGCTTTGTGTAACTGAATACCAAATAACATCATGTTCCAGTAATTTTCATTTGAGTGAGAAGGGAGCACACTGGTACCCTGGACACACCCAGATACACTAAATCAGAACCTCTAAAACTTGGTGACTGTAAAAATAATTTTATTCTGAGTCTGAAACATATGCTCCGTGTTTCTTAGCAAGTTTCTGCAGCACAGGAGTCAGGTGAGGGAAGGTAGCGCCCCACTCCTGGTTATGGAAGGCAGAGGGTGAGTTCTGCTGCACATATGAAGCTATGGAGAGAGCAAGACTGCATAGGAGCAGGGTACAGTCTCTGGATATAGAAGACAGATAAACCTGGGTTATAGTTGACCCAGTGGAAAATTATAGGCCAAGAATAAGTTTCCAGATACCTTAATAGAACTGGGCATTTGATAAATTTTGAAAGTTCTCTGATAACTCGTATGTGCAGTGTAGGCTAAGAACTCACGGAAACAATATAGACATTTTTTGCCTCTCAGGGATATGCAGACACCCCAGTTCAGATATGATGTCTTCATGATCATCAGAAATCCAGATGGCTATTATCTTGTTGCTTTGCACCTCCAAGTACTGCTGCTTGTCATGTTGCCCCATGGCTGCCCCAGATCTAGCCATCAGAGCTGCCTTTCCAAGAAGGAAGAAAGCACAGAGATAGGACATGCCCCCTGCATGTAAGTCAGCTTCTCAGAAGTTACACGCGTTACTTCCCCTTACACAACATAGGTCAGAAATTGGTCACATGTGTCATGCCCTATGTTAAGAAAAGATTGGGAATATAGCATTTATTCCTGGTGATCATGTGTCCGGCTAAGCATTAGAGGACATTTTTACTGATGGCGAAAGGGTCAATGGAGATTGCAGTGAACCAGCCATCTCTGTCCAATAGGCACTTTATTTGGTGACGATAATTATAGGAAAGGTAGCACTAGACAGTTTTAATTCATTGAAGTTATTTTGGGTTTTTCTTGTTAATTTGTTTGTTTGCTTATTTGTTTTATCCTTCAGAGAAATGCTAGAAATTTAGTAATTAAATTAAATATTTCATTGAACACAAAAGCATAACATTATGGAAAAGAGTAACTGTTGTTTGGTTTTATTTATATATGTTAGTGTTTATACTGACTAATCTCACCAATGGAGACAGACAATTTCTAAGATTTATTATAGGCATTGTGTTTGGATCTTTCTTTCAGAAAAGTAAAAATCAGCTTAACCCAAAAATTATTTTAATAATAATTGGCATATCCAGCTTCATCCATGTCCCTACAGCGGACATGAACTCATACATTTTTATGTCTGCATAGTATTCCCATGGTGTATATGTGCCACATTTTCTTAATCCAGTCTATCATGGATGGACATTTGGGTTGGTTCCAAGTCTTTGCTATTGTGAATAGTGCCGCAATAAACATATGTGTGCATGTGTCTTTATAGCAGCATGATTTATAATCCTTTGGGTATATATCCAGTAATGGGATGGCTGGGTCAAATGGTATTTCCAGTTCTAGAAGCTGGAAACCATCATTCTGAGCAAACTATCGCAAGGACAGAAAACCAAACACCGCATATCCTCACTCATAGGTGCAAATTGAACAATGAGAACACCTGGACACAGGGTGGGGAACACGACACACCAGAGCCTGTCGTGGGGTGGGAGGAGGGGGCAGGGATAGCATTAGGAGATGTGCCTAATGTAAATGACGAGTTAATGGCTGCAGCACACCAACATGGCACATGTATACATATGTAACAAACCTGCACATTGTGCACATGTACCCTAGAACTTAAAGTATAATAAAAATAAATAATAATTGGCATATCCAGAACCCTTTGCTGTCTTCTGCTACATTTGCACAAATTCACAGCTATTTGAATACCAGTCATTGTCAATCCTGGTCCTCTTTGAAAATACTGTTCCTTAGTTTTGCTCTCTGCCTAATTTACTTGGATTGAGGGGAAACCCAGGAATCAGTTGATTTGAGTACGTAGCCAATGTTGTAAAGAACTAATTGCTTTAACTTCTAATAGAAAAATATCACTATTTTTTTTAAAAAGTTACATAATTCATGTGTAGGAACATAATCCTTTTAGCCTAGAAGTAAAAAATGATATAGTCTTGCCCTATAGCACTGATCATGGCCATATATAATTTATAATAACCAAAATAATGACAATATTTTGGTACAGCATGCTCTATTAATTTGAATGCTCACGAGTTAACACATAATTCAATGTGATATGTATTAGGTTATAGAAAACCATGAGGTAAAAATCATAGGCTGCATTGAACTTTCTACTTCCCCAACTTTGCCTCATTATAGGGAGGGATGCAGCCCTAGAGTTCAAGAATTCCATAAAGACCAACCGGAAATTCTGGTGCCTGGCATCTTGTCACACCTTCTTCCAATACACAAACATCAAGGAGTGTAGAAGTTGAACATGGTCTGTTGTCACTGCCTCAAAGAATCCACTTCTAGCTTGTTCACACTAGGGTGTGAACATTTAAAGAGGGTAGGGAAGAACCACCTGGGTGGATTTTCACTGGGGATCTTATAATAAACTCTCAAAATCCCAGATTGAGACAAGGGAAGGGATGCTCAGTCGTATGTAATTAGGAAAAAGAGAGGGATTTTGAACCCACCCCTGCATCATCTAAGTCAAATAGAGCCAGTGTAACTGTTGGGACCGTTGCAGGTAGGGTGTGCTAGGTACCAAGCCGCAGTTAGGTAACCAATGACTTTTACAAGCTTATTTTCATCTCAGTACACCACATGCTTCATGTGCCACGTGCATGTATGTAAGTTACACATCTAAGATTATATTATTGGGTTACACTACCATGAATTATCTAAGGAAAACAGAATGATCATCATTGTGTGTGCAAAGACGACTTCTGAAATTAATACCAACAAGAGATTTCTTCTTTGCATATTTTCAAGCAGAAAGTGGACTAAATTATATCATTGGAGCATGACGTCTCAAAAAATATTTATTGCCAAATAATTCTTTACTGCTAAAAATTATTTATTGCATGAAATAGAAAAGATCTGAGACTGAAACTTCCATTTAAAAACATGATTTAAAAAAATAGAGTAATTACATAACAATTATGAAACTCAGATGCCAGAGTCAGAAATCAAGAAATTAACTATGTCAAGCAATTACAATATGATTACAAAGGCCCTTATATATTCATACAAGCTTTTTGCATTTTTTGAGCTAATTTTATGAAAAACATCAAAAGCCAGAAAACTAATGCTTAATGTATATTTTAAGGCCAAGAACAATATAGAAAAATTAATTTTCTCCTTAAAGTTTTTTAAGATATTTAAAGTAAACATTTTAAAAATTATTTAATCTGTGACCCAATTTGAATCACTTTGCTCTTCAGATTCCGATGTCTCCACAAAAATTCCGATGTCTCCTTGAAATTAGCTGATACATTATAAGAAATGAATGACTGTCCTGTCCTATTTGGGATACACATAAAAGTTACCCCAAAGGTTTAATTAGATAGTGAAGTACAAAAATACAGATTTGTAAAATATTACATATATAAACAATATAAATCTCTATTTTGACAAGTGACTTGATAAACTAGGTTAAATAATTGTTAATAGAGTTGAGTAAAGGCAGTGATGTTGGTAAACTAGTGATCCAAATGAAAAGAAAGTCGGCTGGGCACGGTGGCTCACGCCTGTAATCCCAGCACTTTGGGAGGCCAAGGCGGGTGGATCACAAGGTCAGGAGTTCGAGACCAGCCCGGCCAATATTGTGAAACCCCGTCTCTAATAAAAAATACACAAATTAGCCCAGCGTGGTGGCATGGTGCCTGTAGTCACAGCTACTCAGGAGGCTGAGGCAGGAGAATCGCTTGAACCAGGGAGGTGGAGGTTGCAGCGAGCTGAGACCACACCACTGCACTCCAGACTGGGCAACAGAGTGAGACGCCATCTCAAAAAAAAAAAAAAAAAATACCAGAAAAAAAGAAAGTCTTGATACATGGTGTATGCTGCATGTATGTAAGTTACACTCAAAGAGTAAGTCCTCCCACCATAGCTGTTTTCAAGTTATTACCATTTCAAGATACTAACTCCTGTGAATAGGAGGGTGAAGTCTTTAAATTACAGGAAATTGCAATAAAAGCCTGAGGCAAAGATATTTCAAGGGTTTTGGTTAAACAAAAGACACATTGGCTGGCATGAACAAGAGGAATCCACTATTGAAACCATCTTAGTCAATGGCAGGAAGACAGTGTTATGAGTCTACTGGTTACAGAAAATCTTTGTTTTAAAAACTCAGGTTTATCGAATTAAAATTTATATATGCCAAAAGTCATCTTTTTAAGTATGCAGTGTGTTGAAAACATAGATGGTTATATAACAAATACCATCCTCAAGATATAGAACAGTAACATCACCTAGAAAAATTCCCTTTTGTGCCTTTTGAATCAGTATTTCTGCTGCCCTCAGTCTTTGGAAATCGCTGTTCTTTGTCCCTATGGTTTTATATTTTCTAGAATGTCATACACAAGGGAGCAAACAGCATCCTGAATAGGCCTTTAAATCTGGCTTTTTAAATAGCATAATAAATCTGAGACACATTCATGTTGTTATGTTATCAGATTTGTTTCTTTTTCTTCCTAATGTGATATTAAATAGATACAGTATATAACTTTTTGACTATTCACCAGTTTTTGAAATTATGAATCATATGGTTAAAGTCACCAACAGATATACATATGTATATTACATATATGTATAATAATGTATGTATATATAATATATGTATATATACATATATGTATATAGTATACATATAAATCAGTGGATTCTTCAATTTTTTTATTGTCAAAATGATTTTTCCATTATAATTCCTTTGCTTCTCTGTTGAAAGTTTTAGAATGAGCTTGTTTGTTAGTTGCAAATATCCTGTTAGGAATTTTAACTGGATTGAATTTTTGTATTGAATTTTTTGTTTGGTTTGAACAGAATTAATTTATTGTCAATATTGGCTACCAAGCTCTTTACTTATTTACTTCTTCTTTGATTTCTTTTACCAGTGTTTTTTTAGTTTTTGTTACCCTTTCTCCATGTTTTTTTAGATTAAGAATTTAATGTTTCTTGTGCTACTTTAAATGTAACTTTAAAAAATTCTAATTTCCAATTGTTCATTAATAGTGTTGTAAAGTAGCGGGTCCCCCACCAGGGAATTTAAGGGCATATGTTGACTGCTTGAGTCCTGAAGGCTAGATGGTGAGCAAAGTTCATGGTGCTCAGCCGAGGAGCAGATGTCCCTGAAAACCAAAACATCCGGGAGCATATCTAGGTACATACCAAGAAGAACAGTTTCATCACATGTAGTAAGCAAAGAGCCAGAAAAGTAGCTTTGGCCGGGCGCGGTGGCTCATGCCTGTAATCCCAGCACTTTGAGAGGCCAAGGCGGGCGGATCACGAGGTCAGGAAATCAAGACCATCCTGGCTAACGTGGTGAAACCCCGTCTCTACTAAAAATACAAAAGATTAGCCGGGCGTGGTGGAAGGCGCCTATAGTCCCAGCTACTCGGGAGGCTGAGGCAGGAGAATGGCGTGAACCTGGGAGGCGGAGCTTGCAGTGAGCCGAGATCCCGGCACTGCACTGCAGCCTGGGCGACAGAGCGAGACTCCGTCAAAGAAAAGAAAAGAAAAGAAGAAAGAAAAGAAAAGAAAAGAAAAGGAAGGGAAGGGAAGGGAAGGGAAGGGAAGGGAAGGGAAGGGAAGGGAAGGGAAGGGAAGGGAAGGGAAGGGAAGGGAAGGGAAGGGAAGGGAAGGGAAGGGAAGGGAAGGGAAGGGAAGGGGAAGGGAAGGGAAGGGAAGGGAAGGGGGGAAGGGAAGGGAAGGGAAGGGAAGGGAAGGGAAGGGAAGGGAAGGGAAGGGAAGGGAAGGGAAGGGAAGGGAAGGGAAGGGAAGGGAAGGGAAGGGAAGGGAAGGGAAGGGAAGGGAAGGGAAGGGAAGGGAAGGGAAGGGGGGAAGGGAAGGGAAGGGAAGGGAGGGAAGGGAAGGGAAGGGAAGGGAAGGGAAGGGAAGGGAAGGGAAGGGAAGGGAAAGGAAAGGAAAGGGGAAAAGAAAAGAAAAAAGTAGCTTAAAAGCAGCTTAGAGGAAGATGGTGGGCAGCAGGCGGATCTCTGGAGTTATCCCGCTGCCCTTTACGTAAGTCCTAATAAACTCATCTTCTCATGAAGCTGGACTTGTCTGAGTCCTTCTTTGTTATTTCAGCACTATCTCTTTGGCAGAGGGATGTTCTTCTACACAGGTCTGGGTTTTTCCTGCAACAATTATATATAAAAAATAATTCTGTATATTAACATTATAGTGTTATAGTGCATAGTGTGAAATTACAAAACTCACAATTTATTTCTAGTAGCTTCACTTTTAATAATTTTAATTATTTTGTACTCACAATTTATTTCTAGCAGCTTCACTGCTAATAATTTTAATTATTTTGTACATAATGGAATACTGTGCATAGACCATCCACGAATCAAATAGAGTTTTATTTCTTCGTATCCAATTTGTATGCCTTTTGTTTATTTTTCTTACTTTAGTACACTGGTTAAAATTTCCAGTATACAGTTAAATAGTTCTTGAGGACAGGTTTCCTGTACTTCTTTTCTTCGTGCCTGTGTATAACGTATATTTAACTATATAATACATACAACACAACTATGTTTGTCTTCATATAATTTTTTACCTTTTTTTTAGTTTGTTTACGTAGCCCCTATATCTCTAGAAATGTTTCTTGGATTTACGATTTGATTGCCTTCACTTCTTTTGGAAAATTCTCATTCATTTTGTTTTTAAGTATTTATCATCCTTGTTCTCTTTCATGAATCCGTTCAAGTTAGGCATCCAGAGCTGTCCTTCAGCTCTTGGATGCCATGTTCTGCTATTTATCACTCTTCTTGTTTCTTACTTGTATTTGTTATTCAATTTCTATGTTTTTTATCTTCAACTTTACTGTTCCATTCTTTATTCATATCAAGTCTTCTGATGAATTACTTCATTGGTGTTTGCATTTTGAGGTAGATACAACAGTATATCTATTGAGACATTAATTAGTGCAATTAAACCGAAGTTTAACACATTTTAAGTAAAAATTTATCCCACTATCGCATAAAACTTGTGAAAGTTAAAGTCATCAGCACTTAATATTGTCTGTCATGCGAGGCAATCGGCACTCAAGTGGCAAATGCACTCATTTAACTCTAAATTGGTACTTTAGTTAATCTCTCATATTGATTTTTTTAACCCTTAAACACTGGCAAAGAGAAGCATACACCTAAAGAGAGATTTTTTACATTATTGTTTATTTAGTTAGTTTTTAGAAACAAGGTCTCCTCTCTCTCCCAGGCTGGAGGGCTGTGGTGCAATCACAGCTCACTGCAGCCTCAAAATCCTGGGCCCAAGCATACCTCCCACCTCAGCCTCCCAAGTAGCTGGGATTACAAGTGCCTGCCTCAGTACCCGGCTACTTTTAAAACATTTTTTGATACACATAGAGTCTCAGTTTGCTGCTCAGGCTGGTCTCAAACTATTGGTCTCAAGCAATCCTCTTGCCTCAAGCTTCTGAAGTGCTGGGATTACAGGTTAACCAGGACACCTGGCCTAGAGGTTATTTTTTGTTGTTTTAATTTCTTTATTTAATAGTCTGTGTATTTAAATTTTGTTGACAATAATCTTAACAGCAACAATAGTATCTACTTGAAAGGTATGCATTCTATATATAATTCCTTAGATATAAATTTAAGTATAAATATTTGAAAACTCTTTAATTTTTTAATATTGTGTCCCATTTCTTAAAAAGGAGAGAAGCTATATTAACTTTTGAATTCAGTACACAGTTAACAGTTCTTTCATTTAATATGTGATAATATAAATTTAACAGTGAAACTTTCAAATACTCATATTAACTTACCCTGATAGATTTTATAGCTTTAATATAAAACTTCTCATAAATGTAAAATTTGACAAAGCACAATATTCTCCAGGAAGTTAGAAAAGTAATATAATTTTCTGTCTCTCAGAATGTGTTTTCTAACCTCTAAATATAAATTGATGGACTAATCTTTTAAAATTCAGAATCAAATATAATTGCTTTGGTTTGATCATTGAGAATTCTTTTTCCATTCCATCATTTTATAGTTTTTGCCTAAATAAAATACTTAAGGAAGTTATTGTTATGTTGTATTTGAAAGATGCCTGATGGAGAAACATTCATAGTTCTTTTCTATCCTTATGAAAGGTTATATGAAAACATATATATATGTGTATATATAAACATGTGGATAAAGTACAGAAAATCCTATCATTGCCTCTGACTCAAATGGTAATCTTTAATATAAAGATTTGAAACTTTCATGGAACAGTATATCAGAACTTTATTTCCAATTTGTTTATGTATACTTAACGTATATCCTAAGTATTAAGAAATCACATTCAATTAACATATACATTATAAAACAATTCCTATATGATAATTCTAATAAGTAAACATGATTTTAGTGGTAGTAATTATTCAATCAAATATTCATATTTTAAAGATTAAATCTTCATATTTTAAAGCACATTACATCAGTTTACAATTCGATATTGACTACTGGATAGAATTTATCAATGAAATTTTGAATATGGCATGGTTAATGCAGATCATGTGAATTAAATTGCAAGGCAGAGAGCTTTTAAATTAAAAAAATAAGCTGGTTTATAAATCCAGTGCTAGACAGTTAATAAAAGCAATACATATAAATCTCCCAGACACCTCCCAATCTTGGTATTTTGAAATATTTTCCTCTTTTTAATATTATTTAAATACAAAAATTATCTGCCTTTAAGCAACAAAACATGAACTCTTGGTAGAAAATTCACTAATTGACATAGGTATCTAGACTTATAAACCTGTAAAAAATGTGAAATAGAAGGCATAAAGTATTTGAGTCAATAAATTACTAACTAAATCTTTTTTTTTTTTTTTTTTTTTTTTGAGACGGAGTCTCGCTCTGTCGCCCAGGCTGGACTGCAGTGGCGGGATCTCGGCTCACTGCAAGCTCCGCCTCCCGGGTTCACGCCATTCTCCTGCCTCAGCCTCCCAAGTAGCTGGGACTACAGGCGCCCGCCACTACGCCCGGCTAATTTTTTGTATTTTTAGTAGAGACGGGGTTTCACTGTTTTAGCCGGGATGGTCTCGATCTCCTGACCTCGTGATCCGCCCGCCTCGGCCTCCCAAAGTGCTGGGATTACAGGCGTGAGCCACCGCGCCCGGCCTTAACTAAATCTTTTGATTAAATCAGCTTTATAAAAAAAGTAAACGTAAACACATAAGTCTTTGTATAAGCACCCCTACATTTTTAAAAGTATATTTGCCTTTTCATAAACTCAGTTGAGTAGTGGTAACATTCATCATCACAACTTTTTAGAGGCAATGAAATTGATGTCATTTGAGGTCTTCATCTCATATTTATCTTTTATTTTCTTATTTTGTCATGTTTAGCAAAGGATAGTAAAAGTAGAGGATCATTCAACCCAGAAATACAGGGAAACTGATCCTTGTAAATAGCACCCTTTATAGACTCATGGATATTTTAAGAGCAAGATGTGCTAGAAAGGAAAATAAGGCAATCTCTTAATGCTGTGCCTTTTCTTCCATTACATTTTTAGATTATATATTATCCCTTGTTTATTTCTGTAGCTGGGGAAAATATTTTTATTGAAATAGATTGTTTTTTGAAGTTTGCTATATTAGGTAAAAATAAATACCAAACTTCTCTGTCTTCAGTTTAATAGAAAAAAAAAATCCCTTGTTACTCTGTTTCTGCCTTACTGTTAGTAGAAAGATTTATGATTAAGTAATTTTAGTAGGACAACATTAAGAACAAAAACATGAACCAAAATACTTTTTAAAATAAATATACACATTTTTACTATATATAGACACATATATAAAAGTATATATACATATATGTATATATGTGACTTCAATAACAGGAAAATAGATTTTCCAGATTAACAATCTAAACATCTCATCCATAACAAAAGGTTAGGCTCTATACCAATGCTTGAATGAAAACTGTAATATCATCCATTTAAAAAAATGCCAACACATGCATAATTTTAGGCTGTAAAAATGAAAATATTTCAGAATTGATTAACAAATGGTGGAAGTTAAAGTTGTCTCTTCCCGACCTGCACTTTGTTTTCTGTCTCTTGCCTTTTCTCACATTTTATTTTTCCTTCCTATCTCAACAATATACCCCACCTGCAGTGTGCCCAATGTGGACACATACCTGCTTTTTTCAGGCACTGTTTTGGACAACATTTCCCTACTGAGCATTAAATCACTTTTTCTTAAATACGTACTAAAGATTTCCATGGCTGAAAAGCTAGTTCCACATACATTAATAATCCTTGAAGAATTAAATCAGATACAACCTCTACATCAGCACAATATTTCAAGGTGGTAAGGGAGTGCTACTGCTGGGTTCGTCTTCACTTAATAACTTTATTAATGATGTGGATGAGTGAACAAATATGAAAAGAAAATTTATAGGTATTACATACGTAGATTCTGCAGAAACAAATAGGATGGAAGGTAATGACTGTAGAATGACCTAGAGAGGTTAAAAAAAGAAAATAGTAGTCCAATATTATTCCACTTTTAAGTAAATGAGACCATTAAGCTCTTTAAAATAACCAGTAAATAAAAACTCAAAGCAATGATAGCTACATCAAAAAGTGAGGGAAGAGGGGAAATTATATGTTGCAATGTTACAGAGTACATTAAAGCATTCAGTATATTTCCTGAAAATTTCATAAGCACAGTTCTTAATGTTTATTCATAAATAAACAAAACCACACCAAAAGCCATAGTTCATTTGTTTCTAACTAAGAGTACAAATTATTTATGCGGAAAAGTACATATAAGCTCACATAAATAACACGAATAATGTTTTCATTGTGAAGATATTCATAACGTTCAAATGACAAGGTCTTAGGAACTCTGCACCTTCATTAATTTTAATCAATATTTAACAATCAAGATTGTTTTCAATAAATCATGATCTAATAATGAAAGGGGGAAACTATTTGTTTTAACTTTCATTTCAGTTTTACCCTTTACTCACAAGTTGAAATTCATTCTCACTCTTTGCAAACTATTTTGAAACACTTCCAGGTAAAATTCATATAAATATTTTATTTTTCCTAATTTTTGGAAAAATTTTAGACTATTACAATCTGAGTTAATAGCCTAGTTCCTTTGTTGATCCAGTGTAAATAAATATTTCTCTTTTCTTGCTGTATTAAAAAACCCACAGTCTCTATAGCCAAGTCTATATCTATATCGATATCTATCTGTATCTGTATCTATCTATGTGTATCTCTATCGATGTATGCATACACAAATAATATCTGTGGAAGAATTTTTTTTCATGTAGTGTAATATCCACAGCTCTTCTACTTTAACCATAACTCAAGTTAGTAACATTTTATTGTCTTTTGTTAGTTTTACCTGGAAAAGAAAGCACATCATATACAATATTATAAAATAGAAATAAAACTAAATATAGTGTTTTAGAAGGTAACAAAGTTTTATGTTTAAGGATATTAAATAAAATCTATTTCTTCCAGTATATTTTTTCACAATCTGTCTTAAATGGAATCTTCAGATATCTTAACAAGTTGACTACTAGATTTTGTAGTGTATTCCAATCAGATATCTATCTGAGGCCACTCTTTTTTTTAATAATCTAGGCTTCTGTAGACAATGTGGAAACATTTTTAAAATGATGACGCCCTCCTTTTCCTTCGTAGCTAAATTAGTACACAAAATTCTAAATATTTCCTTAGTTTTAATAATAATAAAGCAATATAAGATTCACCCTCTGTATTCAATTCTTTGTTACCAATTCTGCTATAATTAGAATTTTTGAAATTCTTAGTTATAACCTTTATTTTTGATAATTGCATTTAAAATGCAATGATAAAGCAAATAATTAAAATGCTAGGAATAAAATTGTCCTTTATTAGTTTATCATAAAGTTCCATAAATTTCAGCTCTCCTTGATTTCTCACTATTCTAGTTCATCAATTTTGTAATTAATCATTAAACATTATTCTTTCTCTATATTAAAAATATTAGCAATTAACAAATCCCTATTTAATATTATATTCATTGTTTTAGTTTGATGCTTTTTTTTTTTAGTGATATGTACAGAAGACAAAAAAATGATGTGCAGCCTTTGTGTTCCATTTATTGTTGCGTAAAATAAAATTTCATCAATCTTGGATAAAAATTCTTAGGCCTATGATTATATTTGAAGGAAACACTAACTTCTGACATGATTATTTAGAACACACATTTTCTTAACTTGTCTTCCATTTTAATGGAGCTATAAATAGCTTTGGCAAATTTTTCTGCTTTGCTGTTAATTTAACTCAGTAGATTTATTGAAATTTTAAGACACCACGTTACGCAAGATTTAGGGTATGTGACTACTCTTTCCTCCTGTGTGGAGGTCGACATTGCCACAGTCTAATATCATAGTTCCCCTAAGTGGTCCCCTCCCAGAAGTGAGTTGCAAGTTCCTGCTGACTTTCAGAATTATTTCTCCATGTTTATGTCATTTTGATGCAAGAGAGGTCAATACACAGGTATGTCATCAAAATAATATTTAGACTATGTCATTCCCACAAAAAACAACTTATATGCCATGTTTTACTCACTACCAAAGTCTTGTTGAATACTACTTGTTTCATTCCTCTAGCCAGGAGACAACCTGGCAGGTATACTGCCTGAGCACCAAGAAGTTATCATATAATTTGCGTTTCACTGACCTCTCTTACCTTGTCAAATTACCCACAATAATTTTGGTAAAGTTGCATCTAACTTGGTATGGACTAAAAATACTTGCGTCGCCCCCAAAATTTGTATGTTAAAACCCTAATTCCACTGAGATGATATTTGGAAACAGGGCCTTTGGGAAATAATTAGGTCATGAGTCTCTCTCTCTCTTTCTCTCTCTCTCTCTCTCTCTCTGTCTGGTCTCTCTCTCTGTCTCTTTATGAGGACATGACAAGGAATGGAGGTTTTACCTGTAACCATTGACTGGCACCTTTATCTTGGACTCTCAGCCTCCAGAACTCCGAGAAGTAAATTTCTATTGTTTAAACCAGTCAGTGTATGTTGTTTTTGTTGTTGTTATAGCAGCTTGAATTAAGACACAATTTTCCTAAAACTTAAAAATGTCAGATTGGTGGATAAAATTGTATTTCATTGTGCTTTTTTCTTCAAGCCTTATACCTCTGACTCCAAACTCATAGTAACCAGTGTAAGACATGGTAGAATCTTTCCACTAGTGCTTGGGACACTATTTATAGTATCTACCCAATCTAATTTTAATGAAAAAGTTGAAGGTTGGTATAAAAAAATGTTTATCATCTAGGAGTTCCAGGCTCAATTCAACATACTTGTGATGGTCTCATGTAGTAGCAGTGACAGTCAACTACAAATGGTGCCTGAACAGGGACATTTCAGAGACTATCAGGGACATACAGAGACCTGAAAGGACCTGGAGGGACCTGAAGAGGCCTGCAGGGATAAACAGAGATAAGTGGAGGTAAGTACAGAAAAGTAAGTAGAGATAAGTAAGTAGAGAAAAGTAGAGATAGGTAGGGAAAGACGGGGACTTGCAGGAACTAACAGGTACCATAGGGACAGACAGAGACAGATAGGAATAGATAAAGACTAGCAATATAAGGTCAGTGCCCTGAAGAGGTACTGGTCTGTGTCCTAAAGAGGTACAAAAGTAGAGACTAGCAAAGACTAGGAGAGATTTGGAGGAACAGACAGGGACAGATAGGGACAGATAGGGTCCTATAGGACTAGAGCGAGGAAGGTCTGCTGGAACAGAAAAAAACTAAAACCAACTAGATGAACGAGAAAGCCCATTACAACTCTGTTGGCAGCGACATAAGGTTAGTTCTCTAAAAAGGTACTGGTCAGTGCCCTAGAGGTACAAAGAATGGGAAGTTTTTAAAACAGGGAAACGAGGAAGAATTTGGCTATTTCTTTTCTCTTTTTTGTTTGTTTGGAGTTTTGGTATGTACCATCTTTTTGTTATTTAGAATTTTTTGCCCCACCTACAGTGCCTATCGAAAATGGTGAACAGAAGAGGGAGAATGAAAATTGCCTTGTATCGTCTTCTTTGGTGGCTACAGAAAGGCTAACTTTAGCTTTGGCTTTCATGGATTGTAAACGTGCACTGGCACCTGTGAGATGTGCAGAGGACTTGGGAGGCTTTCTCAGAGCTTGTCAAGATGTGGGAACTGAGCTTCATTGCTCTGCAGTATTGACTCAGGCAATAGCAAATTTGGTGGCTGACAGATCTAAAAGAAGCCAAGGGTCAAGCCCTAAAGTGGGAAAGTGTCATAAGTGTAGAAAACTTGGACGTTTCAAAAGAGAATGCCGTCAGACCTCTGTGAACAAGAGATCTTGTAACATAGTCCCCCTCTTAACAGAAAAAAAATGCCGGACTTTGCCCTTGATGCAATAAAGGAAATCATTGGGCTAATCAACACCACTCAAAATTTCATCAAAACGGCACCCCCCTGTTGGGAAGCAAGAAGGGGGCCTGGACCCGGGCACCTCAAACTATGAGGGCGTTCCCTGTCCAGGCCACAACTCCGTTTCAGGGGTGGGTTTCCAGAGGCACATGGATTCCCTCTCCCCAGGAACACCTGGAAACGCAGGATTAGATCTCCCAGAGAACCAATTACATTAAATGAAAGAAACAAACTCACTAAGATTCACATTGGTATTTGGGGATCTTTGCCAACAAGATACATGGGATTGATTTTGGTAAAAGCTGTCTTAACTTACAGGCCCAGGAGTTGTTGATTTTGATTGTGAAGGAGAAATTCAGGTAGTGGTAATGTCACAAGATCTTTGGGTTTTTGAACTGGGAGAATATGTTGCTCAATTTTCGCTTCTTCCCTGTAAATTGTACCCTTCTCCACATAAGAAGAAGCGAGGTGGTCAGGGATTTGGAAGTGCAACTAGGAGAGAGATTTATCTATCACCACCCATAGCATCTAGTGGACCCACCTGTACAGTGCAAATTGAAGGTTTAAGGACTGCTTTTTGCTATACTGTTTTACGAGAAGGATAAGCCTCGATTTGCTTTCTCTGTGCCGTGTGTTAATCAGAAAGAGCCTGCTTCTTGTTCTCAGTGGAAAGTTTTACCCCACGGCAATTAACCAAAGAGGCAGAAGCTGAGTTACAAATGTTTCAGCAATGGCGTGCCTCCCGGCTACAGCAAAAAAAATAAAAAATAAATAAAAAAGAAAACACTTTTGATTCTGTTTGGTAGATTTACTAACGTGGGGACGAGGGTATACTTACGTCTTTGCAGAAGATGAACAAACCGAGTGGGTGCTCCCAAGGTGTGTACGACCGTTGAACAGGAGACTGGAGGGACCCATGGATCCCAACCATGGACCTTGTTCCCCCGGTATGAACCATGAACCAGTTGAATCTGAATGCAAAGATGGAATGAGGACCACTAGAAGCAGGGAGCTCTCTTCTTCCCCATGCTAGCCTTTCCTTAAAACAGTTTCTTTTGTTTTTTGTTACCATTTCTATGTTCGTCTCTTCATTCAGTCTAGTAATGACGGTCTCAGGTAGTAACCGTGGCAGTCAGCCACACTTAAATCTTAATGCTTTTGAATTCTAGAAGGAACTCAAAAAGAGACAAACAAGTCAGTCATAGTAGTAATACATGGAGAATGAATTGTGAAATCTAAGAGACTGAATATCATGTCAAGCATAAGCTTTTTCAAAGCAATTAAACTGGGCTTTTAATGACATTACTTAGACTTTCCAGACAAAATGTGTAACAATACAGCTAATTTTAATAAAATGACTTTGAAATCCCCAAACTCAAATATAATCTCATGAAGTAATTGTTTGTGATAACACCTTAATATGTTTTATACCATCATTATGAAAAACAGTGCAAGAGAAAGGAGAAAAAATTCTTTATTGTGAGTTAAAAACTTTGAAACCTAAGTCAATCATTTTTATTGTTTCAAGAAATATTTCCCCACGGCTACTTTAGTAGCAAAATCAAAGTCAGGAGCCCAGGCTTCTGTAAACAAAGTTTAATTGTATCCCCTCCCCCTTTCTTCTCTGTCTCATAATTTTCTCAGTACTTTTTAAGGGGCGAGAGGCATCCCCATGAATGACGCTGTTATAGGTTCTAAGGCAGAGGATGTGATGATGATGATCTTTGGGAAACGGTGAGGTGAATGTTGTCCACGAAGCTGCTTTCTAGTAGGGTGTCTGTGGGAAACTATACCCTTTCTGTGGGGTCTTCTGAATGTAGCTAATACTATTTTTGTTTGGGCTGGAAGTTTTTTATTATTATTGTTTTTACACTTCAAGTTCTAGAGTACATGTGCATAACGTGCAGGTTTGTTACATATGTATATATGTGCCGTGTTGGTTTGCTGCACCCATTAACTCATCATTTACATTAGGTATTTCCTCTAATGCTATCCCTCCCCCATCCCTCCACCCTACGACAGGCCCCTGTGTGTGATGTTCCCCGCCCTGTGTCCAAGTGTTCTCATTGTTCAATTCCCACCTGTGAGTGAGAACATGCGGTGTTTGGTTTTCTGTCCTTGTGATATTTTGCTGAGAATGCTGGTTTCCAGCTTCATCCAAGTCACTACAAAGGACATGAGCTCATCCTTTTTTATGGCTGCATAGTATTCCGTGGTATATATGTGCCAGATTTTCTTAATCCAGGCTATCGTTGATGGACATTTGGGTTGGTTCCAAGTCTTTGCTATTGTGAATAGTGCCTCAATAAACATATATGTGCATGTGTCTTTATAGTAGCATGATTTATAATCCTTTGGGTATATACCCAGTAATGGGATGGCTGGGTCAAATGGTATTTCTAGTTCTAGATCCTTGAGGAATCGTCACACTGTCTTCCACAATGGTTGAACTAGTTTACACTCCCACCAACAGTGTAAAAGTGTTCCTCTTTCTCCACATCCTCTCCAGCACCTGTTGTTTCCTGACTTTTTAATGATCGCCATTCTAACTGGTGTGAGATGCTATCTCATTGTAGTTTTGATTTGCATTTCTCTGATGACCAGAGATGATGAGCACTGTTAAGTTCTATCCTCTCCATATGTCCATGGGGCTGTTGGAAATATTCTTTTTCTGGGCTTCATGCTGTGCCCAGAGCATTTCCTTTTTCCTTCTCCTTTTTAAGGCAAGGATGCATCTGTTTTCATAAGGTTTGTGATAAAACAACACTCAAGTTTTGCAAGTTACATGATTGTCATCATCATCGCACTAATTTTTTGTGAAATATGCATTTTAATTACTTCCAAGAGGGTTTATTTCTAATGAAAAAAATTAAACAATAAATAATTTTAGACTTACCCCATGCAAGAAATGACAAATTCACTGAAGCAAACATGTTTAGGCTACACTGTATACAATCTACAAATTGCCTGCTCAGTCTCAGTTTCTTGCATATATTTCTCATACATCTAAATGTTAATTTCCACACTTCTGTCTCTCTGAATCCCTGGCAAATGGCAATGGCTAGTGACTTTGCATTCACCTATCAGAAAAACATGAATCCGGACACACTTCCGGGAGCATGGGACGTGGTAGGAATTTACTGGATAATAGGAACTGATATGTTACTTTGAGAGTGCTAAAATTCTCCCAGTGAATGTAACTTTGCCTATATTTTATATAACTTATTGGTTTTGGTTTGATAATTAAAAATATCAAAATTATCCTGGGGCAGGAGCCAAGGATGGTATTATACAGTGAGAAGTGAGTCCCACATGTCAGTCTTGTCATTTTCTTCCTCAGATAAAGTGCAGAATTTTGTCATCAGTAATATGAAAGAGAGATTTTACAGAAAAATTGCCAATTTTTGTCCATGAAGATGAGGGCAATATGCTAAGTATCAACGGACTAAAAGATGGCATATATTTTTTAGTGGGACATCCATGCAAGACTGCATTTCTTACCTGTTGACTATTACAGTAAATAGAAAATAATTATTTTAATTAAGCGACTACAATTTAGGGCATTTGTTGTAGAAATTTACAAATGTTTCACATTGCTTGACTTCAGGGGGCGCCATTTTTACATCATCCATTTCTAATAGCATGGCCAAGAGTATACTCCAAGTAACAAATGAGGTATAGCATATGAGACAAAGTAGAAACACTTAAAGGGTTAAAGAAATTTTCACCCGTATCTCTATGATGCAAAGTAAAGCAAAAGACAAAGAAACAAGCAAAAAAGAACAAGTGGTCGCCAAGCTGGACTGCAGTGATAAAACCATGGCTCACTGCAAACTCCGCTTTCTGAGCTCAAGCAATCCTCCCACCTCAGCCTCATGAGTAGCTGGGACTACAGGTGCCCACCACCACTCCTGGCTAATTTTTGGGTTTTTAGTAGAGACAGATTTTTGCCACATTGGCCAGGTGGGTCCCAAACTCCTGAGCTCAAGCAATCCACCCACTTCGGCCTCCCAAAGTGTTGAGATTACAGGCATAAGCCACCACACCCGGCCGCTGCATTTTTTTTTAATGGGAAATAACAAGCATATTCATTACATATAAAATGATATATTTAGAAATTTTGTAGGCTTTATAAATTCTGTTGGATAATGGAAAATTTTTTATTGTATTTTTTGTGTATGAGAACATATGTTATAAAGTAAAATGTACATAGAGGGAAATGGGATTGTGAGGATAGTAACCATAGGTGAGGAGATGGATGAAAGAAAGGTCTTACACTGCTATAAGGAGCTGTTACTATATCTTCTTCATATTTTTATAAAACATATCTTATTAGAAGACTTAAGTTACTTATTTTTTTCTTATATGTATATATTCACCTCCATTTTGAAGGCTATTAGTCTGGGAAACCTACAAGAACATTGCCGTAGGGAAGCTCAAGTATGTTAACAACAACAAAAATAGTTCTGTGAATGCCTTTACATAATATAAGGTCTACATATTCTCTCTAGATCTGTGCGCCGTAAGACTGGATTTTGAAAAGCTGAGGCATAGACTGATAGCTCTTTACCACACTTGTTTTTTCTTCTTTCTGGATACATAGCTTGGCTATATTTCCATGCAACTGTGTCCCGGTTAATGTGTACCACTTTTAGAGGGTGGTACATATAAATGTTTCTTCCAGTTCTTTCAACATGTGTCATTTGAAAAAGGAGAACTCTGAAGCCCTCTAGGAAGTTGGAGCTACAATACTGGAGGCCAGTTTCCTGAATTACTCCCTGGTAAAAGCCACCCAGACAAGAAATGCCTTTATTTGAATGTTATTAATGAGAAACACATTTTAAACTTTCAGCCACTTTAACTTTGAGGATTGTTTGTTAAAACAGCTGGTGTTACCCAAACTGTTATAGGAGTCTACTAAATATCATTTCATTTTTTTCCCTTCTCAAACTCAGAATGAATTGGGAGATAGCCGTGGGCATTAAAACTGTTTCAAGAAGTGCAACTTAGCGTTCAGGGCTGACCTCATGAGCTTCCAGAGACATCAGAGTAAGTGACCCTTATTCTAGTTTCGAAGCTCTGTTCTAGTTCTAAGCATGCAAATAAATTTTAAGCAGGATTTCTTAGCCTGCAGGAGCTGAGGATGATTAATAAGTCCTGCTGTTATGCATAAATGCACTGACCTATACTGTGCCCTTCAGTCAAATTGTATATTGTTTAATCGTGATAAATGAAGTGCACCAGGCACAGATAAGCTAGTCCCTGGAGTATGTCCAGATACACCTGAAAGAAGAATGACTCAAGCTGGGTGTGTAAAGCTACACTTTGGAGGATAGAGCTTCCCACAGGTGCAATGGAACTCTCACTTCTCACTTGCTCAGAAATTATGATCTGCAGTGTGAGTCTCCCCTGGTAAGGAAACGTGTCCAGCTCCTTGAAACATGTTCTAGAGAACAGCATTCATTACCCTCCCATGAACTTAAACATGCTTCTTGGCTCCTGTGCATTTTAGGTAAGTAAGCTTTGATTTCCCCAGGTGGTGTCGGTGTCTAGTCTTTTCATAAACTTGCACTTACTATTAACATGGAGAGGACATCCACAGGCCGAGATACATTGCCATGTCTTGCATTAAAAGCAAATGAACCTGAAGTTTTTTTGTAAACAACTTACGAAGTTTCATTTGATTTGATTTGATTTTTAATAATTCCCTGAATTGCTGTGATAATTAGAGTAGTGAATTCATTTCTGGTATGTTTTAAAAGTAATTCAAGGAAAATAATTTTGCAGAATCCTGATTTAGATAATATGAAGAGTGAATAGGAAAATGATGAAATTGTTGCTGCTTTTTACAGAGGCTTAGAATCATGGAAATCATTTGCTTTCAGGTATAAAAGGGAATAATTTCATTTTCTACTTTTTACTTTAAATTTCTGTTATCTATGTCTACATGCTTCTGTCCATGTCTTCATAGTTTGTTTTTTAAATAATATGCTTCTACCATTCTCTGAAAGCTATTTTAATTTTTCAGCTTGAATATAAATTGGTTGATACTGGCTGCAAATTATTTTTGGTATTCTAATTTGTCTATTTTTCTTTTTCTTGAAATGGAATAAATAAGCTTCACACACACACACACACACACACACACACACACACACACACACACACAAACCCTAAACAAACAAAAAAAATCACACAGCACCAGCAAACTACTAGGATTTACTGTAGGATAAAAGCTCTACATGGCCCTGCATACAAACTTTCTGCATACTTCTGCAAATTTTTATGCATTACTCAATCCATTAAAAATCACCTTGGAAGAAATTGCAAACACAATAGAAACTAAATGAGATAGTCACAGAGAACAACAAAAATAGTAATTTAAGCTCCCATACAACATCAAGTGTGTTCAGTCTATTTTTGGTTCTTCGGGTTCTCTTTAAAATTGAATTGAGTTTGTATATGCATATGTATGTAGGAGTGGAGGATGGAATTAATTATCCCAAACATCCTACACTCACTCCTCTAATATTTCTTTTGTTAACATGCAAATCTGTTCTCTTCATTACGGTGATACTGCATTTACATTACAACACAATTAGAGATCATTAACTTTCTCCTTTATAATCAGCCATTTTCACAGGCCTTTGATATACAAGCACCTATAATATATTCTTACTCATCTCACACTTTCATTTACCAAAGTGTCAAAACAACATTTTTACATCATTGATATTTGTTTTAGTTTCTGCAAGCTGGCTGTTAGAAGATGATTACTTCTCTTAAATTACCTCTTACCCTCATCTTGCTATCTTTTTAAAAGGAAAGAAAAAGCACTATAAAAATCAGACACTTTGGGTTCTGAACCTTTTATTTTGTGTGAAAAGATACTTATTTATGTATGCTAAATCACACTGATGCGGAAGACAAACTGGCTCTTCGTTATTTTTTTTTGGCACTTTATAGAGGAAATGTGTGGAGAACAGATCTTTCCTAAGGTATTATATTCATGTGCCTTAAAGATTAAGAATACTCAATGCGCCAAGAAGTGCTATATACCAGAAAAGTTTGTATCAATTAATGTATCTAAATTAAGTTAAAGTTTCTTTCAATTTAATGTGCTTGCAGATGTAAAATTGCATGTTTAAGTTTTGCAGTTATGTACTAAATCTGGTGCTACACTTCTAATGTCTAAAGGTTTTATTCAATTTCAATTTATTTGTTTTATAGTTTGCCAGAATGTGCTTATGAAAGGCACTCTCAGTCATAAAAATAAAATTATAAGCAGACTGGCACATAACTATTTTTTTAAATAATAAACTTTCTGATTTTAGAGACTTGTATTCTTTTATAGGTCCTGGTTCTCTTTCACGCTCTGACCTATAAGAACCCATACAGCATGCATTGCTGTGTATGGAAAAGCAGTAAAGGGAAGTACAGCCACCTTTTAGGTCCCATGAATAGCAAAATCTCTTTGACTAATCTCTTGTTTCAGGGTATGTCCACTCCTTGTTTAAAGAATGTAACTGGCTGGGCTTGGTGGCTCACTCCTGTAATCCCAGCACTTTGGGAAGCCAAGGTGGGCAGATTACAAGGTCAGGAGTTTAAGACCAGCCTGGCCAATATGGTGAAACCCCATCTCTACTAAAAATACAAAAATTAGTCGGCCGTGATGGTGGGTGCCTGTAGTCTCAGCTACTCAGGAGGCTGACTCAGGAGAATTGCTTGAACCCAGGAGGCAGAGGTTGCAGTGAGCCAAGATTGTGCCACTGCACTCCAGCCTAGGGGACAGAGTGAGACTCCATCTCAAAAAAAAAAAAAAAAAAAAAATGTAACCACACTCAATAGTCACTAGCACATTGTTTTGAATAGACTATATACTGAAAGATATCTGCTGGATATAGAATGACCTCAGGAAAAAGTCTAGACACTATAATCCATCTCACTTGCCAGCATTTAGCGACCTTTCAGCTTCATTACTGACTTTCAGCCAGTGTCCCTTAGGTGAGTGACTTGAGTCCTCTTTCATAATATTTGGCAGGAGAAAAGATGAGGTCATTGCTCCATCAATCCCGTCATGTCATGTCTGCTCATGTGTCATAGCTTATAAATAGTTACATGGTTCTGTCCAAGTGCAAGGGGGGCATTGCAGGTAGAGGTCTGTCTCCATGCGCCTTGAAAAGAAAATAACCAAATATCAGGGGAAAACAATAATATGAGCCATAGTGCCTGATATATACTATGACATCATAGAGATTTAATGAGTATTAATCAGGATTCAATGGCTGCAGGAGACAAACAGTTTCACAAACGAGGGTAATTAACTGGCTCATAGGCAATATCTCAAGAAAGGTGGGGTATTGTTATACTTCATGTGTTGCAGAAACATAGATGCTCCAATTTTACATGTTCTTTCTGTGTATGTAACATTCTTTGCCTTCTGGGTCTCAGCTTTATCTCTCAGGTTGACGTCTGTCACAGCTGTAGAGATAGTCACTGTCAATTCCTAGTTTCACAGTCTCCCATTTTCCAGTGGAGTCTTACTCTTTCTTTGTTTCCAGTTCAAATGTATTATTGAAGAATCCTGGTTCTTAATTTAGCTTCGGGACCTATTGAATCAGTCTGTGGAAGCTGGAATAATATGATTAGGGCAGCAGAAATGAAGAATGCTTCTTTAGACCAATCACTATGTCCATGAGGCAGACTAAGGACTACATGACCCTAATAAATTCTAATTTCTAGAGCTTCTTATCTGGATCCTGAAGCAGTTTCGGCCTTTATACTATGAGAGACTGAATACACTAACAGACAATGGTGGTTCCACACACAGAAAATCAACTCTGACCTCTGCAGCAACCAGTCTGCAGCGATTGGTCCAAATGCTTAGGAATTGGTGGGTAACTTCCAGCTTCCCTAAGTGTTTCCCTCCAGCTTCCAATTTAGAACCAACCAGAGAATGCTAATTATGCAGCTTCACCCATCAAATAGGATGTTTTGCTTCTAGTTATCCAACCTTTAGATTCCCCATGACAATAATTTCCAACCAGGGCATTCCTGCAGCCTTCTGGTTTTCCCATGATAAAGCTTTCTCACTGCCTGCCTGCCTTTGATTCGTTGCCATATTGCAAGTGATGGTGGCCAACTCCCTGGCTACAGCAAGCTCTGACTGAATAACCTGTATTTCTTTTCATTTGAGCAGTCTTAGCTTATTTTTATAACTATTGAGGAAACGTTGTAGCAACCCTTACACTAAATGAACTTAATTATGCCAAACCTTTACTTACTACTTAAACAAATACTCTTCCAGACAATGTTACCAAACAGTGTCCCCTTTGTTGTGAAATCTTGTAGATACTGTTTAATTAGTAGAATCCTCTTACTTTCTTTTCCCTGTCAGTTTTACAGTATCCAACTGGTCCCGTGTATGATAGAAAACATTTCTATAAGGTAACACAGTATATTTCAACCCACACTATTACTATTGATGAGATTACTTTGCTATTCACATCTCATAACATTAGCAAAAATGCACAAATCTTAAACTGCCTTCTTTTTCCCCTCCAGGATGAAGGACAACCACATATTTAGCTGACAGTGATTCAAACTCTCATCTTGTCCAAAACTGACTTAAATGGCATAACTTTAATTAACTCTGATCTTACATTATCTGTTGACAGTTTTCACCTAGAATAGAGAAAATTAACCTTGTTTTGGATATTCTCTTATCTCTGAAGACTCCATCTGCCTGGGTTGCTGAATCAATTTTTGTAACTGGAACTCACAATCCAGCCTGAGGCAAAAAGTGAAGAGTATATGAGAGAGAGAACATTTATGTAGATAGTAGACAAGCACTAGAAATTGTGCATGATTTTGGAATGAAGGGCTCTTAGGTTCATTTTCGACTCTTAGCTGCAAGTATAGAAATTAAAAAGAAAATTAATGTTTTATCTGACTCCTTAAGAAATTATAAGTTAATTTAAACATATCTACTCCAGTGAAATAGAAATGAAATCTAAAGTTAATTCTCAGGCATATTGCTTTGCAAGAAATGCTCCTCTTCATAGAAAGCTGCCCAAGTAAACAAAATACTCCCTTACTGTAAACATTTATTCCTCTTTATGAAAAGTTACTTGTAAAAGAATTTTAACTAGGTATTGAGATTTATTTGACAGTTCAATGATAGCCACTCGGTGGCTCCTAAATCCGTACAAATAACATTAGCAATCACACTGTGTGGATCTACCTAAAATACTAAAGGTATCTCAGAATCAGTGTTACTAAGATATCGTGGATGAGTTTGTCTAGAGAAGAGCAAGCATGCCTTATCTGGAAATTCTGTAACCACCACAATGCTGATTAATCTGTAAAAGTGGGTCAAAACTTTCAACCACTATCACAGGCACTTTAACCCCCTATAAATGGACATTGTACAAATACCTTAGTCCCAAGGAAACCAATATGTCCTGGAGATTGTTTGTGAATGTCCCTAGTGGAGCAAAGCCTAAGTATAAGAATCTTTTTGGTGTGTTTTCCCCACCTGGGATCTCCTGTCAACCCTGTCAGCTGAAGGAAGGGCTCATTTTACAAGGAAGTGTTTTTGACGATTTTGCATGGTTGTCTTTATCTCTAAAGCATAATTACACTTATAATCTGAAAAGTATATAAAAGATAGAGATATTAAGTTGTTTGTTAAAAATAAGTAATCTGAATGTTCAGAATGACTTCGTCTCCCTTGTTCTATAGTGCTTCTTTCAGTGTTACTAGCCATGTGATCCTCAGCTTTAAATCTTACAGGCTTTTTCTTGTGAAGTGGTAACTGTAAGAACCATGAACTTGGATCTAGTTACTACATTCGCCAATTCTTCATTTTGTGGTAGTTGTTGTTATTTTTCTTTATGAGACAGGGTCCTGCTCTGTTGCCCAGGCTGATGTACAGTGGCATGATCACGGCTCATTGCAGCCTTGAACTCCTGGGCTCAAGCAATCCTCCAACCTCAGCCTTCTGAGTAGCTGGAACTACAGGCATGCACCACCATACCTCACCATTTTCTTTTTTTGTATATATACATTTTTTTTTCGGTAGAGAATCAGTTCTTCATTATTAAGTTTATAAAATACCAGCCAGAGGCCAGGCGCAGTGGCTCACGCCTATAATCACAGCATTTTGGGAGGCTGAGGCAGATGGATCACTTGAGGCCAGGAGTTCAAGACCAACCTAGACAACATGGTAAAATCCTGTCTCTACTAAAAATACAAAAAAATTACAAAAAATTAGCCAGGCATGGTAGTGCCTGCCTGTAGTCCCAGCTACTTGGGTGGCTGGGGCATGAGAATTGCCTGAACCCAGAAGTCAGAGGTTGCAGTGAGCCGAGATCATGTCACTGCACTCCAGCCTGGATGACAGAGAGAGAAGCTCTCAAAAAAATAAAAATAAAAATACAGCCAGAGA
Organism: Homo sapiens; assembly: GCF_000001405.40. NCBI lineage: Eukaryota > Metazoa > Chordata > Mammalia > Primates > Hominidae > Homo > Homo sapiens. The sequence continues at coordinate 1,144,017 of NW_025791777.1, forward strand.
TCAATTTAACTGTTAACTATTATTTGATGTAATTAGCTACATACCTATCATATAATTAAAATTCAGTATTGAGATGGTTGTCATAGGGACACTTCAAACCAGATTAAGTTTATTTTAAAAGTGAATTGAGAGATTTTACTTTATAAAAAAAAAACCAATTTGGTTAGTTTGCCATTTAGGCTTCTAATTTTGATCTGAGGCCTGCTAACCCTGGAGATTACACAAAGACTTTGTGAGGCGTACTGCGGCCAGGCAAAGACTTTTAAAGAACAGGTTTCCAGGTGTCACATTCGAATACTTCTTTCATCATTCTTGCTGTCCCTCTTTCATTTCTTCTTTTTCAAAAGAATTCTTCTCCCACAATGTTTCTTTTTTTAAAAGAGAAAAATATATCTCCACTTTTTTTAACTTTACCTTGGTGCTTTGTCCCCAGGTGTTGAAATTTCCAGGATGCAAAACGAAGGGGCAATTCAAAACATTCATCTCCACTTCTCAAAAGTAAGTCACCTTGATGACTGGGTAACAAAATCTTGCTAATCATTTGTGTTTTTTGTTTTGTTTTGTTTTGTTTTAGATTTTTAATTACTTTTAAAAATTTGAAGAAATACCTAGTTGAATTGTCAATGGACACCTGCAATTTTTGTTGTCATTCTTCAAAGGAGTTCAAAGAATCAAATGTCATTGTTATAACAAAGCCCTTCCAATCCTATCCACTTATTTCTGAGAACAAGATTTCTCAGTTCTTAGATCTTATAAAAATAATGATATAGGAATAAGAATGATGTGGAACCTGCCACCTTCTAGCAATAAAAAAGGTTCATTTATAAAAACATGAATTTATAGGCAAAACATTAGGAGGTAAATTTCAAAAAACGCTTTTGCAAATAATTAAATTTTAAAATCTGTCACATGTTTATGTTTTAATTCAACTTTTAATAAAATTTGAATGTATGGAGGCATTTTTTATTTTTTCCTCCTTATCACTCTGGGCCATAAAGCTCCACTTCTTTCAGAACATGTGCATGAGATATTTATACAGCTCTTCAGCTAAGGTTACTAATATGCAGCCCTGTGATGCCACCAGTTATAATTCTATTACTGCATTATTACTCTTTCAATTAAAAAGAAATAGTAGAAAAAACAAAGCAAACAAACAAACAAAAGGCAAAATAATTGCATTTCAGAGGATGTCTGTTCCCGTGTAAGGTGCGCCTGTCCTTGCTTCAAGGGGAGTGGGTTACTTTTTTTTAAGTTTTTATATTTTCAAGATTTGGGGTTTGATACAACCATTTTTTTTTTAACTTTAAATTCTGGGATACATGTGCTAAACGTGCAATTGTGTCACATAGGTATACATGTACCATGGTGGTTTGCTGTACCTATCAACCTGTCATCTAGGTTTTAAGCCCCACATGCATTAGGTATTTGTCCTAATGCTCTCCCTCCCCTTGCCCCCCAGCCCCCGACAGGCCTTGGTGTGTGATGTTCCCCTCCCTGTGTCCATTTGTTCTCATTGTTCAGCTCCCACTTATGAGTGAGAACATGTGCTGTTTGGTTTTCTGTTCCTGTGTTAGTTTGTTGAGAATGATGGTTTCCAGCTTCATTCATGTCCCTGCAAAAGACATGAATTCTTTCTTTTTTATGGCTGCATAGTATTCCATGGTATATATGTGTCACATTTTCTTTATCCAGTCTATCAATTGATGGGCATTTGGACAACCATATTTTTTGTTGAGTTTTGTTTCTTTAGTGGCTTAGCCATCTCTGCTGGTTTTAGTTAGTTCCAGCTGAGTCAATGGCTCATCTTAGACTGCATTTCTACCACCAACCTCTGCAAGGAAATACTCCACAGGACTTCTGGCCTAGACCTGAGGTTGCCATGGATTCATATTGAGCAAGTGAGTTCCATGTACACATCCCAGTCTTTCCTCAAGTAGCCTGCACGCCCTGTCTCCACCCTCAGTTTAAGAACACCAATGAGGTTTTTGAGATGTTCTTCTTACTCTCTGCCAAAGCAAGATATCTGATAGAAGGAGAAACCCTGTATTGACTCCCTGGCTTTTTGTTTATTCCAAAATTATGCTCTGTCTGGCTGACACATTGTGAAATTTAAGGGGAAAATTAGACCTTTTCCTCATTTCACTTTCATTGTTTCTTTTTTTAAAATCTATTGTGTATTTCATTCATTTTGGGGGGGGAACAAATTCTACAAACTGCTTTAATATTGTCCTTTTTTTCTAATATTCACATTAACTTTTTATGTAAAACATACCAATGCTTTTAATAAAGCTTACATAGGAATAAACTATTATAGACCTGCATAGATATAAGTACACATGTATTAATCTACATTAAAATAATGGATTTTATTCTGCGAAGACTCCAAGTTGCTCCTGGGTGCTAAGTGAAGCACTTAGGGAAATGTGTTCAGTCTTTGAGGTCATAGGAACATTAGATTATATCAAAGGAAACCTGGAGCCATCAGCTAAGTGGCCCTTCTGTCCTGTAGATACATAAAAACTAATGTGCTCCGCTATGCGGCTCACTTTCTGCTATTAGATACTATGAGGCACTAAGAAAAAACTACTGCCTGCATCATATCTTTCTTCGGTTTGAGATAAAGAGAATGGCCAGAACTGTATACAAGTCATGAAAGGCCCTGGTGTACATTTTTCAAAGTAGTGCAGATTGTGTTGAAATTATCAGTTTATCTTGCATATAAAAAAAAGTATATACACTTTGAGTAAAATATAAAAAGTGGTAAATATCACGAAAAGTTTGTTTTACTGTAACCATTTCTTGTTCTATTCTATTTGAGTATTTGCTCTATATATTTGATATACTTCCAGAATGCATCCTATTCACAAAGCAGGCAATTACTCTATCAGTGAATACAGTTGCAGAGTCTCTCCTCTATTCAGCTTCATTTGTACCTCCACTCCAGCCACTTGCAGAAATGGCGGATGCATCAAAAAGACTGGTTACAGGCCTTGCACCCTCCAAGCGGCTAATTACCAAGATGTTAAGTAAATGACCATTGCTCTTTATCATCCCCAATGGCGTATAAAAAGGATGTTAAACAGGTTGTCTCATGTTCCCTATACATTTATTCATTCCCGTGTTAAAATACGTCTTATGGGAAAAACAAAATTCACCAAAGAATGAGGAAGCGAACATGTGTTAACAGAGGGACTTCTGGCTAATTTTACAAAGAAGGATAAAAATTCTCAAAATATGTGTGGGGTGGATTGCGGGGGTATTACATATTCATAGCATGCCGCAGAAATCATTTTAAGTCTATCAAAAACAACTATATTGTGCATTTTCAAATAAGCACATATAAAAGATGAGCTATAAGAAGAGAGAAGGATGCTAAAATAAATAAGTGAAAGAGAAAAATGGCTGGGCACGGTGGCTCAAGCCTGTAATCCCAGCACTTTTGGGGGCCGAGAGGTCAGGAGTTCAAGACCAGCCTGGCCAACATGGTGAAACCTGGTCTCTACAAAAATACAAAAATTAGCTGGGCATGTTGGCTCATGCCTGTAATCCCAGCTACTCGGGAGGCTGAGGCAGGAGAATCCCTTGAACCTGGGAGGCGGAGGTTGCAGTGTGCCAAGACCGCATCGTTGCACTCCAGCCTGGACAACAAGAGTGGAACTCCGTCTCGAAAAAAAAAAAAAAAGAGAAAAGTAGGTGAAAAGAAGTAATTAAATGGTAAGGAAAGAATAGGTCAGGACAGGAATCCAGGATGACTTTACTATATTTGAACCATAGAACATTAACCAAAATCTTATTTTTCTTCCCCTCAGTAGTTTGAAGTTGAGCAATATCTGTGTCTTTTGCATCACACTCTGAAATTGCAAATTATTTCTTGTCCTTTCAGATAAATGATTATGCAAAAGAAGCCCAGAACTGGCACAATTTAGAAGGTTTGAGGTTGCTCTCATGTGTTTGTAGGGTATGCTATCGTCATCCCATAGCCTAAGGCTGTAGTATTGGACTCTCTGGAAGCAGCTCTGAATGTGATAGGATGGAGATAATTGAAGATACAAGCAGCCATTATGTGTCTGAATATTGGTTTACTAGAAGAGCTAGATGTGTAGGAGCACATCCTTACTTGACAAATGTCTGACAGAATGACCTGGCACCATTACTGTTTTAAATGTGTAATATGCTATCTCAACTGGGACATTTTATGAAAGCTATAGGTTGTGACCTACTGTTCATTACACTTAGTTTCTGAGGTGCCAAAGACTGATGTGTGAGCCAAAGTTCATTATTGTTCTTCACTGGATCTTTGCATTTATTAGTCTGATGTTAATGGGATTCGCTCTTGAGTTGGATTGATGTTCAAGGTTAGAGCCACAGATGAGCTCCTGATCTTGACCAGAAATGATTTGCCCATTGCCAATTAGAAGAAGAAAAGGGCAAGGTGGAGGTTGAACTTGGAGTTAATAGGAATAATAGATGCTGAGGGTGCAAGATGAAACTCAGTAAGATAATACACTCTATTCTTAGACTGGCAAATTTACATAGTAAAGAGAACTTTTATCATTGTCATCCAAAGAAAATATAATCCTAAGAGAAAAAGTCCAGCTAGTTTTTTTTTTCTTTTTTGTTACCTGCTCATAGGATATAAACTTATTTCTATCACACACAGGTATCATTTTCTACACTTAAAACACTTCTTCTATTTCACACAAATGACAAAAAATGTCCTTCAATTATTTTGACACACGATCTCTCAAGATACATATCGTTTTATATCAACTATAAATACAAATTTAAAATTTTGATAAAAGAGAAATAACTGGAATAAAACAAAGCAGTATTTTTTAAAACTATAGCTTTTCCCCTAAGATATTCTCACACTAAAGAATTTTTCCCAATTCTTCTCCCCCACTGAGAAGTACAGTCTTCAAAAATTAGTCCAGGTATTAGTGTTTACCAAGGAGGAATATTTTGAACAAGAATAATCTGATGCTACTTTTCATTTGTCAAGTACATTTTCTAAATTATATTCTAATAAGAGAGAATATGCACATTTGCATGTCATGATTCTTATAAATATTTACTGAGTACTGTCTCTCTGTAAAGAACTACAGTGGGATGGATTTAAGATATATAATACATAATTTTTCATCTTCAAATTGTTCACGTTTTGTAGAGATAGTAACTTGTGCATAAATGACTAGAATGTTAAGTTGCTAAGTGACAAGTGACAAAAATGTTTAACCTGTAAAATCTTCCCCTTGGGAAATTGAGGAATAAAAACTTCCAACTAAAGGAACAAAGATTGTCATGAGCAAAGTTGTATAAAAAATAAATTAAATGTAGGATAATAAAGGTAGTGTATTAAAGTGAGAAGGGTTAGGGTTTCTTAGGTGACAGACTGGCTTGATTTTGTGACTTGTGTGATGGTAGCAAGTTATGTAACACCTCTGAGTTTCCATATCTTCATCTGTGAAGTAGACATAGCTGAACCAACCACATGGAATTGTTGCGAGGGTGAAATGCAATGGTGTGTGCAAGTTTCTAGGCAGTGTTGGACTGGATCTACTATTACGCTATACAAATGATACTTAGAATTTTTACAGTTATGCTTAATATTGTCATAATTCCAGGAAATGAGAAAAATCTCAGCAGAGGTACAAAACGGGCAAGCTCTGGGAAAAATGATCTTAGTGGGTTTATTTCAAAGGATGCTTGAAAGTGATCTGTGGAAAACAAAATTGACAAAAAGTGCATGTTGAAATGGAAATTAACGGGTCTTTGAATGTTAAGAGAAAGATAGCGGGCATGCTCTTTCATCTGTCTATCCCTGGCCCTTAGCATGCCTGGTGCTTTTCAGTGCTCCAGCTTTACGTGTTTAATCGTTTTTGTTTCATTCGAAATAAATGTTCTCATAGATATAGAAAACCAGCAGGCAATAAAATATATATTCTGAGCTGTGATTTAGTGGTATTATTACTTAGCAACAGTGTGTAGGATGAATTACAGAAAGCAAAAGTAGGGCATAATTATAATCACTAAGACCAATTATCAATATAAACTTTTGCCAGAACAATTGTAAATATATGGAGAGGTGATGCACATGAAAAACACATTAAAATACCCTAGGATTTTGCCAAAATAAGCTGTGTAATAAAACAAAGGGAGAAGAAATTGAAGAATATGATGAAGTTTAAATTGAGGTTCAAGGTGTTTTGCATGAAGAAAGATGAGAAATTTAAATTTGAGATATGATGAGTTTATGGTAGGAAATTGAGATACCATATTTTGCCAGTTGGACTAGACCTCACAAAAAGACTCAAAATAAGTATGCAGAACGCATTAGTTTAGATATATTTGAAGAGACCATGGGAAAAAAAGGAAAAAGGGAGGAGTTTAAAGAGTCAAACAAAAAGATGATGGAAAGGCAGTGGGAGACATAAAAGGGAACCAGAAATCTTAAGAGGAGAAAGTGTTCTGAAGAAACACACAAAGTCAATTACTTAAAAAGTTGAGAATCACTGGCAGTGCTGGATGATCGTGACTTTTTTCTCTATTTCAGTAAGCGGGCGATGGACATTAGAATGCAAGAGATGGATGAGGTATGGAAGTAGAAGGAATAAATGTCAACTATTATTTTAAAACATTTGCACAGAAAGCAAAGTAGGATAAGAGCTTAAAAATAAAGGTTCTGTTTATTTTCATTTTGTAGTCGTAGGGAAAATGTGGGCATGTTAAAAGAAAAGCTGAGTGTAAAAAGGGAATGAGAGGACAAATTGAAATAGACATGGGTTCAAATCCCAGATCCCACTGGACATCTCTGAGGCTTACTAGACATCATCTGTAAATATAAGATAAACACCTAATATAAAATGTGTTCAGCTATAAGAAGTTTGAGTTAGTGTATATGATTTTTAGAAAATCAATTTATCATATACAATAAAACATATATTAAATTAGACAGTTTGATGCATATTGACAATTGTATATCCCCTGCACATTTCCATCATATATGAAAACTTCTCACATGCCCTCACCATCTCAATCCCTGATCACAGGCAACCACTGATGGAGGTTCTGTCATTATGTACAGGATATATCTTTTCTAAATTTTGTATAAGTGACATCATACATGTGCATTATTTTGTTTCTGTCTTCTTTATCTCAGCATCTTGTTTTTTGAAATTTGTTCTTATTGAGTACATCAGTGGTCAGCTCCTTATTATTGCTTAGTGTATTTCATTTTAAAAGTATAATTATTACATATTGTGTGGAAAGATTTAAACATTCAGAAAATATAAAATTCAGTGCAACTATTTTTTCCTACTCTTCATGTATTATAATTCAGTCTTTTTGATAATTTTATATATATAGAAGGTATGATATTTATATTACATTTAAAATTTAGTACAACTTTTATTAAAGTGTACATATTATTTATACAATGCTTTTTTCTTTTCTATATCTATACAGCTTACCCATTTTTGAGAAGGCTGCATTTTTTTCTATAACATGTATATGTTGTACTTTACTTGTCTATATCCCCATTAAGAGATATGTTGCTTCCAGGTTTCATTATTATAAATACTGTTTCAGTGAACAGCTTTCAATATACATCTTTGTGCCCATGTGACAATAAAAGTATTTTTGTATGCATCTGCAAGTATAATAGTTATAGTGTCCATGCATTTTCAATTGGGTAGTTGTTTCAAAATAGCCCTACATTTTTCAAATAATTCTAATTCAAAGGACTGCTCCCCTTTCAAACCTGGTAAATATTGAAGTCCTTAATGCTTTTGCCAGAATTAGGCTGAATTGACAGAGCACTGATATGTAGAAGATATATATATATATATATATATACATGTATATTATATATATAATATATTATAAATATAATATATATATATAAAATTCTTAAAATTTAGCAAGTAACTGAACAACAAAAATGACAGATAAAAGAAGCAGGTCATGCATAGCCTATCTGCCTGAGATTTATTTAACCCTTCTTCAGAAGAGGATTTGATTCTTGTCTCTCTGTGTCTACCTATAGACAGCATTTCTCCCAGGAAGCTTGCCCTGACCTCCTAGAATTGGTTATGTACCATTTATATATTTTTCATATTCCAATGTACATAACTCATAACAGAAATTATCACAAGGGAACAGCTGTGGTTTTATTGTTATGTCTAGCTATCCAGCTATCATCTTCACCAGACTGTAAGCTCCTTGAAGGCAGAAGCCAGATTTATCTTCATGACCTCTGTGTTTTAGATGAGGTCTCAGAGATAGAGGTCAGAATTTTCCCTCTAGGTAAATTAATTAGATTAACCTCAACTTATACAAAACAGTAGTCATTAAATTTATCCCCAGCCATCAGGAGCTTAACTACTCTGGAGAGAGAGCCAGGTGTTGGAGTAGGCAATTAAGACATCAAGACAAAAGGACATTAACAAACCTTTGAGGTTAAACTGGAAAAAGCCCTGACGGTCCAGTCCCCATCCTTTTTTTCCTTCATGAAACAGCTCTATCAAGGATCACATGGGTCAGCACAGATGTGGAGTTGTCTCACTATCAAAGGAACCCTGAACAACAGGCTCCTGCCTGCAGTTTTATGGAAGGTCAGGAAAAGGCTGGGAGCGGAAAAGCACTGAGTATTGAATCAGAAGGAAGACAATTGTCTTCAAGACTCCTCCTCCTCTCCCCATGAAAAGGAGGTCTTGGGCAAACATGCCTGGGGAAGGTCTGCCAAGGTCCCACAGTGGAGAGGCCTCCAGGGGAGGCACCAGTCAAGTGATGCTGATCTGTGTGTGAGCATGGCCCTGCAGCCCTTACTGAAACTGCCATTAGAGGACTATGCACTAGTGTGGGGAGGGCAGCTCTCCCTGTGGGACCCACTTGGTCAAGTCTTTGTCATTGTTTATGGATGGGCCCAAAAATCACATATAGGATTGAGTCTGGGGCTGAACTCTTTACTGCTCTGTCTGTATTCCCTGTCTTGGTTGACACCTAATACATGACTAAGAAACTAAGAAATCATTTTAGACGTCGTTTTTGTGTCTGTGTTTTATGCTTTGTTGGCTTGAAAACTTCATCCAATAAAACTTTAGTTATTTTTATTACCATTTCTTCCTTTATGACCCCACAGCATCCTCCATGTGCCAGGGTCCAAATCATCTTTAACCCGGACTATTCTATCAGTACCCAAATATATTCTTTCATCAAAATATATTCTTTCTCTTCTCTGGCTGTAATCTCATTCATTTCCAGGCTACTTCTTTTCAAACTAAAAAGCAAATATAATCACACTATTCTCTTTCTTCAAACACTTTCCCAATTCCTAGAGTAAAATCCCCCTTTTATAACATATAAGGCCTCAGTGACCTACCCTCAGGACTTCTTTAATTATTCTCCCATATTGTCCTATTATGTACCTGTTCCATCATCCTTACAACCCTCAGAACTCCCTAATCTGTTTTAATGCCACATTGTTATGCTCTTAATTTCCTTTGATAAAATGATTCTTTCCATTCATAAACTAGTTGATTACCACAACTTCTTAAGTATTCTATTGAAGTTTATCTTATTAGTCCATTTCACACTGCTATAAAGATACTACCTGAGAATGGATAATTTATAAACAAAAGAGGCTTACTTGACTCACAATTCCACATGGCTGAACTTATAAGTGAACTTATAATTAAACTTATAATCATGGTGGAAGGTGAAGGGAAAGCAAGGCAAGTCTTACACTGTGGCAGGTAAGAGAGAGAGCATGCAGGGGAAACTGCCACTTATAAAACCATCAGATCTCCTGAGAACCCCCTCACTATCACAAGAACAGCATAGAAAACCACCCTTTTGAGCTAATCACCTCCCACCAGGTCCCTCCCCATGACACATGGGGATTACAATTCGAGTTGAGATTTGGGTGGGGACACAGAGCCAAATCGTAACATGTATCTTCTTTGCCAAGATTTTCCTTACAACGCAAAGTAGATTGACATATTTTAATTTCTTCCATCCCACCCCACCATAATATTCTTACCTCTATGACAGTGCTCATCAAAATTTGTAGCTATTATTTGTTTAAATGACTTCATTATGCTTCTTAAGAGGCATAAACTTTCTGCTATATTCATCTTTGTATGCCTGTCACACATTACATTGGCTGAGACAAGGTAAATATTTAATACATATCTATTAAATAAGAAACTTAAAAAAATAAAAGAGTGAATGAATAACTGTATCTAGGAAGTATGAAAGTGTCTTATCTTTTAGCATTTTTCATCAAGGAATTAAGAAATGTGTGGGGAAAAAGTTAAGAGGCCCCAGTTAAAATGGCTTTTATCCCAAATTCAGGCAATAACAAAAGTTGGCGAGGATATACAGAAAAAGGAACCCTTGCACACTGTCAGTGGGAATGTACATTAGTATGACCCTTAAGGAGAACAGTCTGGAGGTTTCTCAAAAAGCAAAAATTGAGCTATCATATGATCCAGCAATCCCACTCCTGGGTGTATAACCAAAAGAAAGGACATAGTATATCAGAGAGATATCTGCACTCCATGTTTATTTCAGCACTACTCACAATAGCCAAAATTTGGAATCAACCTAAGTATCCATCAAGAGATGAATGAATGAAGAAAATATAGTACATATACAAAATGGAATACCATTCAGCCATAAAAAACAATGAGTTCCTGTCATCTGCTACAATGTGGATAGAACTGGAGGTCATTATGTTAAGTGAAACAAGCCAGGCGCAGAAAGACAAACTTCGGATGCTCTCACTTATTTGTGGGAGCTAAGGCTTAAAACAATTGAACTCATGGAGATAAACAGTATAAAGGTTAACAGGCTGAGAAGGGTAGTGAGGGTTTGGGAGGAAAGCGGGGCACACTAATAGGTACAAAAACATAGTTAGAAAGAATGAATAAGACCTAGCATTTGCTAGCACAACAGGGTGACTATAGTCAAAAATAATTTAATCGTACATTTAAAAATAACTAGAAGAGTATAATCAGATTGTTTGTAACACAAAGGATAACTGTGTGAAGTGATGCATATTCAATTTACCCTGATGTGATTATTATGCATGTATCAAAACATCTCATGTACTCCATAAATTTTCAAAAGAAGTATGTATAGCATAATGCTTAAAATAATATACTGTAATAGTCTACAACTTGGCAAGAAATTAAGCTTTCGTTTATTTTTGTCACAACAGGTATACTACATGCAGATTAAAATATATATTTTATATATATATATATATATATATATATATATATATACCATTTATCTTTTAAGGGCATTTTTCATAACCTTGAAATATAAACAATAAAAATTATGAAGCAATAATTTATTTTTTTAAAAAAATCCACTTGCCAAACAAACAAGATACTCCTTCCAGGATGTCAGTAATATCAAGATAAAATGCCAGAGAATTTTAGCTGAGTATAGTAAATCAAACAGCTAATTTTTAACTTTGATGGAGGAGAAAATTAGATAAATTCTGAAAATTCATCCATCATTTTTAGAGCACTAACCTTATGTCGCTGCCAACAGAGTTGTAATGGGCTTTCTCGTTCATCTAGTTGGTTTTAGTTTTTTTCTGTTCCAGCAGACCTTCCTCGCTCTAGTCCTATAGGACCCTATCTGTCCCTATCTGTCCCTGTCTGTTCCTCCAAATCTCTCCTAGTCTTTGCTAGTCTCTACTTTTGTACCTCTTTAGGACACAGACCAGTACCTCTTCAGGGCACTGACCTTATATTGCTAGTCTTTATCTATTCCTATCTGTCTCTGTCTGTCCCTATGGTACCTGTTAGTTCCTGCAAGTCCCCGTCTTTCCCTACCTATCTCTACTTTTCTCTACTTACTTATCTCTACTTACTTTTCTGTACTTACCTCCACTTATCTCTGTTTATCCCTGCAGGCCTCTTCAGGTCCCTCCAGGTCCTTTCAGGTCTCTGTATGTCCCTGATAGTCTCTGAAATGTCCCTGTTCAGGCACCATTTGTAGTTGACTGTCACTGCTACTACATGAGACCATCACAAGTATGTTGAATTGAGCCTGGAACTCCTAGATGATAAACATTTTTTTATACCAACCTTCAACTTTTTCATTAAAATTAGATTGGGTAGATACTATAAATAGTGTCCCAAGCACTAGTGGAAAGATTCTACCATGTCTTACACTGGTTACTATGAGTTTGGAGTCAGAGGTATAAGGCTTGAAGAAAAAAGCACAATGAAATACAATTTTATCCACCAATCTGACATTTTTAAGTTTTAGGAAAATTGTGTCTTAATTCAAGCTGCTATAACAACAACAAAAACAACATACACTGACTGGTTTAAACAATAGAAATTTACTTCTCGGAGTTCTGGAGGCTGAGAGTCCAAGATAAAGGTGCCAGTCAATGGTTACAGGTAAAACCTCCATTCCTTGTCATGTCCTCATAAAGAGACAGAGAGAGAGACCAGACAGAGAGAGAGAGAGAGAGAGAGAGAAAGAGAGAGAGAGACTCATGACCTAATTATTTCCCAAAGGCCCTGTTTCCAAATATCATCTCAGTGGAATTAGGGTTTTAACATACAAATTTTGGGGGCGACGCAAGTATTTTTAGTCCATACCAAGTTAGATGCAACTTTACCAAAATTATTGTGGGTAATTTGACAAGGTAAGAGAGGTCAGTGAAACGCAAATTATATGATAACTTCTTGGTGCTCAGGCAGTATACCTGCCAGGTTGTCTCCTGGCTAGAGGAATGAAACAAGTAGTATTCAACAAGACTTTGGTAGTGAGTAAAACATGGCATATAAGTTGTTTTTTGTGGGAATGACATAGTCTAAATATTATTTTGATGACATACCTGTGTATTGACCTCTCTTGCATCAAAATGACATAAACATGGAGAAATAATTCTGAAAGTCAGCAGGAACTTGCAACTCACTTCTGGGAGGGGACCACTTAGGGGAACTATGATATTAGACTGTGGCAATGTCGACCTCCACACAGGAGGAAAGAGTAGTCACATACCCTAAATCTTGCGTAACGTGGTGTCTTAAAATTTCAATAAATCTACTGAGTTAAATTAACAGCAAAGCAGAAAAATTTGCCAAAGCTATTTATAGCTCCATTAAAATGGAAGACAAGTTAAGAAAATGTGTGTTCTAAATAATCATGTCAGAAGTTAGTGTTTCCTTCAAATATAATCATAGGCCTAAGAATTTTTATCCAAGATTGATGAAATTTTATTTTACGCAACAATAAATGGAACACAAAGGCTGCACATCATTTTTTTGTCTTCTGTACATATCACTAAAAAAAAAAAGCATCAAACTAAAACAATGAATATAATATTAAATAGGGATTTGTTAATTGCTAATATTTTTAATATAGAGAAAGAATAATGTTTAATGATTAATTACAAAATTGATGAACTAGAATAGTGAGAAATCAAGGAGAGCTGAAATTTATGGAACTTTATGATAAACTAATAAAGGACAATTTTATTCCTAGCATTTTAATTATTTGCTTTATCATTGCATTTTAAATGCAATTATCAAAAATAAAGGTTATAACTAAGAATTTCAAAAATTCTAATTATAGCAGAATTGGTAACAAAGAATTGAATACAGAGGGTGAATCTTATATTGCTTTATTATTATTAAAACTAAGGAAATATTTAGAATTTTGTGTACTAATTTAGCTACGAAGGAAAAGGAGGGCGTCATCATTTTAAAAATGTTTCCACATTGTCTACAGAAGCCTAGATTATTAAAAAAAAGAGTGGCCTCAGATAGATATCTGATTGGAATACACTACAAAATCTAGTAGTCAACTTGTTAAGATATCTGAAGATTCCATTTAAGACAGATTGTGAAAAAATATACTGGAAGAAATAGATTTTATTTAATATCCTTAAACATAAAACTTTGTTACCTTCTAAAACACTATATTTAGTTTTATTTCTATTTTATAATATTGTATATGATGTGCTTTCTTTTCCAGGTAAAACTAACAAAAGACAATAAAATGTTATTAACTTGAGTTATGGTTAAAGTAGAAGAGCTGTGGATATTACACTACATGAAAAAAAATTCTTCCACAGATATTATTTGTGTATGCATACATCGATAGAGATACACATAGATAGATACAGATACAGATAGATATCGATATAGATATAGACTTGGCTATAGAGACTGTGGGTTTTTTAATACAGCAAGAAAAGAGAAATATTTATTTACACTGGATCAACAAAGGAACTAGGCTATTAACTCAGATTGTAATAGTCTAAAATTTTTCCAAAAATTAGGAAAAATAAAATATTTATATGAATTTTACCTGGAAGTGTTTCAAAATAGTTTGCAAAGAGTGAGAATGAATTTCAACTTGTGAGTAAAGGGTAAAACTGAAATGAAAGTTAAAACAAATAGTTTCCCCCTTTCATTATTAGATCATGATTTATTGAAAACAATCTTGATTGTTAAATATTGATTAAAATTAATGAAGGTGCAGAGTTCCTAAGACCTTGTCATTTGAACGTTATGAATATCTTCACAATGAAAACATTATTCGTGTTATTTATGTGAGCTTATATGTACTTTTCCGCATAAATAATTTGTACTCTTAGTTAGAAACAAATGAACTATGGCTTTTGGTGTGGTTTTGTTTATTTATGAATAAACATTAAGAACTGTGCTTATGAAATTTTCAGGAAATATACTGAATGCTTTAATGTACTCTGTAACATTGCAACATATAATTTCCCCTCTTCCCTCACTTTTTGATGTAGCTATCATTGCTTTGAGTTTTTATTTACTGGTTATTTTAAAGAGCTTAATGGTCTCATTTACTTAAAAGTGGAATAATATTGGACTACTATTTTCTTTTTTTAACCTCTCTAGGTCATTCTACAGTCATTACCTTCCATCCTATTTGTTTCTGCAGAATCTACGTATGTAATACCTATAAATTTTCTTTTCATATTTGTTCACTCATCCACATCATTAATAAAGTTATTAAGTGAAGACGAACCCAGCAGTAGCACTCCCTTACCACCTTGAAATATTGTGCTGATGTAGAGGTTGTATCTGATTTAATTCTTCAAGGATTATTAATGTATGTGGAACTAGCTTTTCAGCCATGGAAATCTTTAGTACATATTTAAGAAAAAGTGATTTAATGCTCAGTAGGGAAATGTTGTCCAAAACAGTGCCTGAAAAAAGCAGGTATGTGTCCACATTGGGCACACTGCAGGTGGGGTATATTGTTGAGATAGGAAGGAAAAATAAAATGTGAGAAAAGGCAAGAGACAGAAAACAAAGTGCAGGTCGGGAAGAGACAACTTTAACTTCCACCATTTGTTAATCAATTCTGAAATATTTTCATTTTTACAGCCTAAAATTATGCATGTGTTGGCATTTTTTTAAATGGATGATATTACAGTTTTCATTCAAGCATTGGTATAGAGCCTAACCTTTTGTTATGGATGAGATGTTTAGATTGTTAATCTGGAAAATCTATTTTCCTGTTATTGAAGTCACATATATACATATATGTATATATACTTTTATATATGTGTCTATATATAGTAAAAATGTGTATATTTATTTTAAAAAGTATTTTGGTTCATGTTTTTGTTCTTAATGTCCTACTAAAATTACTTAATCATAAATCTTTCTACTAACAGTAAGGCAGAAACAGAGTAACAAGGGATTTTTTTTTTCTATTAAACTGAAGACAGAGAAGTTTGGTATTTATTTTTACCTAATATAGCAAACTTCAAAAAACAATCTATTTCAATAAAAATATTTTCCCCAGCTACAGAAATAAACAAGGGATAATATATAATCTAAAAATGTAATGGAAGAAAAGGCACAGCATTAAGAGATTGCCTTATTTTCCTTTCTAGCACATCTTGCTCTTAAAATATCCATGAGTCTATAAAGGGTGCTATTTACAAGGATCAGTTTCCCTGTATTTCTGGGTTGAATGATCCTCTACTTTTACTATCCTTTGCTAAACATGACAAAATAAGAAAATAAAAGATAAATATGAG
Organism: Homo sapiens; assembly: GCF_000001405.40. Lineage (NCBI taxonomy): Eukaryota > Metazoa > Chordata > Mammalia > Primates > Hominidae > Homo > Homo sapiens. The sequence goes on from NW_025791777.1 coordinate 1,160,080, forward strand.
ATGAAGACCTCAAATGACATCAATTTCATTGCCTCTAAAAAGTTGTGATGATGAATGTTACCACTACTCAACTGAGTTTATGAAAAGGCAAATATACTTTTAAAAATGTAGGGGTGCTTATACAAAGACTTATGTGTTTACGTTTACTTTTTTTATAAGCTTATTTAATCAAAAGATTTAGTTAGTAATGTATTGACTCAAATACTTTATGCCTTCTATTTCACATTTTTTACAGGTTTATAAGTCTAGATACCTATGTCAATTAGTGAATTTTCTACCAAGAGTTCATGTTTTGTTGCTTAAAGGCAGATAATTTTTTTATTTAAATAATATTAAAAAGAGGAAAATATTTCAAAATAGCAAGATTGGGAGGTGTCTGGGAGATTTATATGTATTGCTTTTATTAACTATCTAGCACTGGATTTATAAACCAGCTTATTTTTTTAATTTAAAAGCTCTCTGCCTTGCAATTTAATTCACATGATCTGCATTAACCATGCCATATTCAAAATTTCATTGATAAATTCTATCCAGTAGTCAATATCGAATTGTAAACTGATGTAATGTGCTTTAAAATATGAAGATTTAATCTTTAAAATATGAATATTTGATTGAATAATTACTACCACTAAAATCATGTTTACTTATTAGAATTATCATATAAGAATTGTTTTATAATGTATATGTTAATTGAATGTGATTTCTTGATACTTAGGATATACGTTAAGTATACATAAACAAATTGGAAATAAAGTTCTGATATACTGTTCCATGAAAGTTTCAAATCTTTATATTAAAGATTACCATTTGAGTCAGAGGCAATGATAGGATTTTCTGTACTTTATCCACATGTTTATATATACACATATATATATGTTTTCATATAACCTTTCATAAGGATAGAAAAGAACTATGAATGTTTCTCCATCAGGCATCTTTCAAATACAACATAACAATAACTTCCTTAAGTATTTTATTTAGGCAAAAACTATAAAATGATGGAATGGAAAAAGAATTCTCAATGATCAAACCAAAGCAATTATATTTGATTCTGAATTTTAAAAGATTAGTCCATCAATTTATATTTAGAGGTTAGAAAACACATTCTGAGAGACAGAAAATTATATTACTTTTCTAACTTCCTGGAGAATATTGTGCTTTGTCAAATTTTACATTTATGAGAAGTTTTATATTAAAGCTATAAAATCTATCAGGGTAAGTTAATATGAGTATTTGAAAGTTTCACTGTTAAATTTATATTATCACATATTAAATGAAAGAACTGTTAACTGTGTACTGAATTCAAAAGTTAATATAGCTTCTCTCCTTTTTAAGAAATGGGACACAATATTAAAAAATTAAAGAGTTTTCAAATATTTATACTTAAATTTATATCTAAGGAATTATATATAGAATGCATACCTTTCAAGTAGATACTATTGTTGCTGTTAAGATTATTGTCAACAAAATTTAAATACACAGACTATTAAATAAAGAAATTAAAACAACAAAAAATAACCTCTAGGCCAGGTGTCCTGGTTAACCTGTAATCCCAGCACTTTAGAAGCTTGAGGCAAGAGGATTGCTTGAGACCAATAGTTTGAGACCAGCCTGAGCAGCAAACTGAGACTCTATGTGTATCAAAAAATGTTTTAAAAGTAGCCGGGTACTGAGGCAGGCACTTGTAATCCCAGCTACTTGGGAGGCTGAGGTGGGAGGTATGCTTGGGCCCAGGATTTTGAGGCTGCAGTGAGCTGTGATTGCACCACAGCCCTCCAGCCTGGGAGAGAGAGGAGACCTTGTTTCTAAAAACTAACTAAATAAACAATAATGTAAAAAATCTCTCTTTAGGTGTATGCTTCTCTTTGCCAGTGTTTAAGGGTTAAAAAAATCAATATGAGAGATTAACTAAAGTACCAATTTAGAGTTAAATGAGTGCATTTGCCACTTGAGTGCCGATTGCCTCGCATGACAGACAATATTAAGTGCTGATGACTTTAACTTTCACAAGTTTTATGCGATAGTGGGATAAATTTTTACTTAAAATGTGTTAAACTTCGGTTTAATTGCACTAATTAATGTCTCAATAGATATACTGTTGTATCTACCTCAAAATGCAAACACCAATGAAGTAATTCATCAGAAGACTTGATATGAATAAAGAATGGAACAGTAAAGTTGAAGATAAAAAACATAGAAATTGAATAACAAATACAAGTAAGAAACAAGAAGAGTGATAAATAGCAGAACATGGCATCCAAGAGCTGAAGGACAGCTCTGGATGCCTAACTTGAACGGATTCATGAAAGAGAACAAGGATGATAAATACTTAAAAACAAAATGAATGAGAATTTTCCAAAAGAAGTGAAGGCAATCAAATCGTAAATCCAAGAAACATTTCTAGAGATATAGGGGCTACGTAAACAAACTAAAAAAAAGGTAAAAAATTATATGAAGACAAACATAGTTGTGTTGTATGTATTATATAGTTAAATATACGTTATACACAGGCACGAAGAAAAGAAGTACAGGAAACCTGTCCTCAAGAACTATTTAACTGTATACTGGAAATTTTAACCAGTGTACTAAAGTAAGAAAAATAAACAAAAGGCATACAAATTGGATACGAAGAAATAAAACTCTATTTGATTCGTGGATGGTCTATGCACAGTATTCCATTATGTACAAAATAATTAAAATTATTAGCAGTGAAGCTGCTAGAAATAAATTGTGAGTACAAAATAATTAAAATTATTAAAAGTGAAGCTACTAGAAATAAATTGTGAGTTTTGTAATTTCACACTATGCACTGTAACACTATAATGTTAATATACAGAATTATTTTTTATATATAATTGTTGCAGGAAAAACCCAGACCTGTGTAGAAGAACATCCCTCTGCCAAAGAGATAGTGCTGAAATAACAAAGAAGGACTCAGACAAGTCCAGCTTCATGAGAAGATGAGTTTATTAGGACTTACGTAAAGGGCAGCGGGATAACTCCAGAGATCCGCCTGCTGCCCACCATCTTCCTCTAAGCTGCTTTTAAGCTACTTTTTTCTTTTCTTTTCTCCTTTCCTTTCCTTTCCTTTCCTTTCCTTTCCCTTTCCTTTCCTTTCCTTTCCTTTCCTTTCCTTTTCCTTTTCTTTTCTTTTCTTTCTTCTTTTCTTTTCTTTTCTTTGACGGAGTCTCGCTCTGTCGCCCAGGCTGCAGTGCAGTGCCGGGATCTCGGCTCACTGCAAGCTCCGCCTCCCAGGTTCACGCCATTCTCCTGCCTCAGCCTCCCGAGTAGCTGGGACTATAGGCGCCTTCCACCACGCCCGGCTAATCTTTTGTATTTTTAGTAGAGACGGGGTTTCACCACGTTAGCCAGGATGGTCTTGATTTCCTGACCTCGTGATCCGCCCGCCTTGGCCTCTCAAAGTGCTGGGATTACAGGCATGAGCCACCGCGCCCGGCCAAAGCTACTTTTCTGGCTCTTTGCTTACTACATGTGATGAAACTGTTCTTCTTGGTATGTACCTAGATATGCTCCCGGATGTTTTGGTTTTCAGGGACATCTGCTCCTCGGCTGAGCACCATGAACTTTGCTCACCATCTAGCCTTCAGGACTCAAGCAGTCAACATATGCCCTTAAATTCCCTGGTGGGGGACCCGCTACTTTACAACACTATTAATGAACAATTGGAAATTAGAATTTTTTAAAGTTACATTTAAAGTAGCACAAGAAACATTAAATTCTTAATCTAAAAAAACATGGAGAAAGGGTAACAAAAACTAAAAAAACACTGGTAAAAGAAATCAAAGAAGAAGTAAATAAGTAAAGAGCTTGGTAGCCAATATTGACAATAAATTAATTCTGTTCAAACCAAACAAAAAATTCAATACAAAAATTCAATCCAGTTAAAATTCCTAACAGGATATTTGCAACTAACAAACAAGCTCATTCTAAAACTTTCAACAGAGAAGCAAAGGAATTATAATGGAAAAATCATTTTGACAATAAAAAAATTGAAGAATCCACTGATTTATATGTATACTATATACATATATGTATATATACATATATTATATATACATACATTATTATACATATATGTAATATACATATGTATATCTGTTGGTGACTTTAACCATATGATTCATAATTTCAAAAACTGGTGAATAGTCAAAAAGTTATATACTGTATCTATTTAATATCACGTTAGGAAGAAAAAGAAACAAATCTGATAACATAACAACATGAATGTGTCTCAGATTTATTATGCTATTTAAAAAGCCAGATTTAAAGGCCTATTCAGGATGCTGTTTGCTCCCTTGTGTATGACATTCTAGAAAATATAAAACCATAGGGACAAAGAACAGCGATTTCCAAAGACTGAGGGCAGCAGAAATACTGATTCAAAAGGCACAAAAGGGAATTTTTCTAGGTGATGGTACTGTTCTATATCTTGAGGATGGTATTTGTTATATAACCATCTATGTTTTCAACACACTGCATACTTAAAAAGATGACTTTTGGCATATATAAATTTTAATTCGATAAACCTGAGTTTTTAAAACAAAGATTTTCTGTAACCAGTAGACTCATAACACTGTCTTCCTGCCATTGACTAAGATGGTTTCGATAGTGCATTCCTCTTGTTCATGCCAGCCAATGTGTCTTTTGTTTAACCAAAACCCTTGAAATATCTTTGCCTCAGGCTTTTATTGAAATTTCCTGTAATTTAAAGACTTCACCCTCCTATTCACAGGAGTTAGTATCTTGAAATGGTAATAACTTGAAAACAGCTATGGTGGGAGGACTTACTCTTTGAAGTGTAACTTACATACATGCAGCATACACCATGTATCAAGACTTTCTTTTTTTCTGGTTTTTTTTTTTTTTTTTTTTTTTGAGATGGCGTCTCACTCTGTTGCCCAGTCTGGAGTGCAGTGGTGTGGTCTCAGCTCGCTGCAACCTCCACCTCCCTGGTTCAAGCGATTCTCCTGCCTCAGCCTCCTGAGTAGCTGTGACTACAGGCACCATGCCACCACGCTGGGCTAATTTGTGTATTTTTTATTAGAGACGGGGTTTCACAATATTGGCCGGGCTGGTCTCGAACTCCTGACCTTGTGATCCACCCGCCTTGGCCTCCCAAAGTGCTGGGATTACAGGCGTGAGCCACCGTGCCCAGCCGACTTTCTTTTCATTTGGATCACTAGTTTACCAACATCACTGCCTTTACCCAACTCTATTAACAATTATTTAACCTAGTTTATCAAGTCACTTGTCAAAATAGAGATTTATATTGTTTATATATTTAATATTTTACAAATCTGTATTTTTGTACTTCACTATCTAATTAAACCTTTGGGGTAACTTTTATGTGTATCCCAAATAGGACAGGACAGTCATTCATTTCTTATAATGTATCAGCTAATTTCAAGGAGACATCGGAATTTTTGTGGAGACATCGGAATCTGAAGAGCAAAGTGATTCAAATTGGGTCACAGATTAAATAATTTTTAAAATGTTTACTTTAAATATCTTAAAAAACTTTAAGGAGAAAATTAATTTTTCTATATTGTTCTTGGCCTTAAAATATACATTAAGCATTAGTTTTCTGGCTTTTGATGTTTTTCATAAAATTAGCTCAAAAAATGCAAAAAGCTTGTATGAATATATAAGGGCCTTTGTAATCATATTGTAATTGCTTGACATAGTTAATTTCTTGATTTCTGACTCTGGCATCTGAGTTTCATAATTGTTATGTAATTACTCTATTTTTTTAAATCATGTTTTTAAATGGAAGTTTCAGTCTCAGATCTTTTCTATTTCATGCAATAAATAATTTTTAGCAGTAAAGAATTATTTGGCAATAAATATTTTTTGAGACGTCATGCTCCAATGATATAATTTAGTCCACTTTCTGCTTGAAAATATGCAAAGAAGAAATCTCTTGTTGGTATTAATTTCAGAAGTCGTCTTTGCACACACAATGATGATCATTCTGTTTTCCTTAGATAATTCATGGTAGTGTAACCCAATAATATAATCTTAGATGTGTAACTTACATACATGCACGTGGCACATGAAGCATGTGGTGTACTGAGATGAAAATAAGCTTGTAAAAGTCATTGGTTACCTAACTGTGGCTTGGTACCTAGCACACCCTACCTGCAACGGTCCCAACAGTTACACTGGCTCTATTTGACTTAGATGATGTAGGGGTGGGTTCAAAATCCCTCTCTTTTTCCTAATTACATACGACTGAGCATCCCTTCCCTTGTCTCAATCTGGGATTTTGAGAGTTTATTATAAGATCGCCAGTGAAAATCCACCCAGGTGGTTCTTCCCTACCCTCTTTAAATGTTCACACCCTAGTGTGAACAAGCTAGAAGTGGATTCTTTGAGGCAGTGACAACAGACCATGTTCAACTTCTACACTCCTTGATGTTTGTGTATTGGAAGAAGGTGTGACAAGATGCCAGGCACCAGAATTTCAGGTTGGTCTTTATGGAATTCTTGAACTCTAGGGCTGCATCCCTCCCTATAATGAGGCAAAGTTGGGGAAGTAGAAAGTTCAATGCAGCCTATGATTTTTACCTCATGGTTTTCTATAACCTAATACATATCACATTAAATTATGTGTTAACTGGTGAGCATTCAAATTAATAGAGCATGCTGTACCAAAATATTGTCATTATTTTGGTTATTGTAAATTATATATGGCCATGATCAGTGCTATAGGGCAAGACTATATCATTTTTTACTTCTAGGCTAAAAGGATTATGTTCCTACACATGAATTATGTAACTTTTTTAAAAAAATAGTGATATTTTTCTATTAGAAGTTAAAGCAATTAGTTCTTTACAACATTGGCTACGTACTCAAATCAACTGATTCCTGGGTTTCCCCTCAATCCAAGTAAATTAGGCAGAGAGCAAAACTAAGGAACAGTATTTTCAAAGCTGACCAGGATTGACAATGACTGGTATTCAAATAGCTGTGAATTTGTGCAAATGTAGCAGAAGATAGCAAAGGGTTCTGGATATGCCAATTATTATTTATTTATTTTTATTATACTTTAAGTTCTAGGGTACATGTGCACAATGTGCAGGTTTGTTACATATGTATACATGTGCCATGTTGGTGTGCTGCAGCCATTAACTCGTCATTTACATTAGGCACATCTCCTAATGCTATCCCTGCCCCCTCCTCCCACCCCACGACAGGCTCTGGTGTGTCGTGTTCCCCACCCTGTGTCCAGGTGTTCTCATTGTTCAATTTGCACCTATGAGTGAGGATATGCGGTGTTTGGTTTTCTGTCCTTGCGATAGTTTGCTCAGAATGATGGTTTCCAGCTTCTAGAACTGGAAAAACCATTTGACCCAGCCATCCCATTACTGGATATATACCCAAAGGATTATAAATCATGCTGCTATAAAGACACATGCACACATATGTTTATTGCGGCACTATTCACAATAGCAAAGACTTGGAACCAACCCAAATGTCCATCCATGATAGACTGGATTAAGAAAATGTGGCACATATACACCATGGGAATACTATGCAGACATAAAAATGTATGAGTTCATGTCCGCTGTAGGGACATGGATGAAGCTGGATATGCCAATTATTATTAAAATAATTTTTGGGTTAAGCTGATTTTTACTTTTCTGAAAGAAAGATCCAAACACAATGCCTATAATAAATCTTAGAAATTGTCTGTCTCCATTGGTGAGATTAGTCAGTATAAACACTAACATATATAAATAAAACTAAACAACAGTTACTCTTTTCCATAATGTTATGCTTTTGTGTTCAATGAAATATTTAATTTAATTACTAAATTTCTAGCATTTCTCTGAAGGATAAAACAAATAAGCAAACAAACAAAGTAACAAGAAAAACCCAAAATAACTTCAATGAATTAAAACTGTCTAGTGCTACCTTTCCTATAATTATTGTCACCAAATAAAGTGCCTATTGGACAGAGATGGCTGGTTCACTGCAATCTCCATTGACCCTTTCGCCATCAGTAAAAATGTCCTCTAATGCTTAGCCGGACACATGATCACCAGGAATAAATGCTATATTCCCAATCTTTTCTTAACATAGGGCATGACACATGTGACCAATTTCTGACCTATGTTGTGTAAGGGGAAGTAACGCGTGTAACTTCTGAGAAGCTGACTTACATGCAGGGGGCATGTCCTATCTCTGTGCTTTCTTCCTTCTTGGAAAGGCAGCTCTGATGGCTAGATCTGGGGCAGCCATGGGGCAACATGAGAAGCAGCAGTACTTGGAGGTGCAAAGCAACAAGATAATAGCCATCTGGATTTCTGATGATCATGAAGACATCATATCTGAACTGGGGTGTCTGCATATCCCTGAGAGGCAAAAAATGTCTATATTGTTTCCATGAGTTCTTAGCCTACACTGCACATACGAGTTATCAGAGAACTTTCAAAATTTATCAAATGCCCAGTCCTATTAAGGTATCTGGAAACTTATTCTTGGCCTATAATTTTCCACTGGGTCAACTATAACCCAGGTTTATCTGTCTTCTATATCCAGAGACTGTACCCTGCTCCTATGCAGTCTTGCTCTCTCCATAGCTTCATATGTGCAGCAGAACTCACCCTCTGCCTTCCATAACCAGGAGTGGGGCGCTACCTTCCCTCACCTGACTCCTGTGCTGCAGAAACTTGCTAAGAAACACGGAGCATATGTTTCAGACTCAGAATAAAATTATTTTTACAGTCACCAAGTTTTAGAGATTCTGATTTAGTGTATCTGGGTGTGTCCAGGGTACCAGTGTGCTCCCTTCTCACTCAAATGAAAATTACTGGAACATGATGTTATTTGGTATTCAGTTACACAAAGCTGAGTGTAACTGATTGGTTAATAGTAAAAGTTTTGATTTCAGTAAAATAGTTGAATTATTCTAAACCATAACTTTGTAGCTACATGATTTGGGTGAGATGATTTTTTTTTTTTTTTTTTGAGAAGGACTCTCACTCTGTCACCCAGACTAGAGGGCAGTGGTGTGATCTTGGCTCACTGCAACCTCCTCCTCATGGGTTCAAGTGATTCTCCTGCCTCAGCCCCCCGAGTAGCTGGGATTACAGGTGTGCACCACCATGCCGGACCGGTTTTGTACTTTAGTAGAGATGAGGTTTCACCATGTTGGCCAGGCTGGTCTCAAACTCCTGATCTCAGGCGATCCACCTGCTTTGGACCCCCAAAGTGCTGGGATTACATGAGTTAGCCACCACACCCTGCCTGAGGTGATGTTTTTGAGCCACAGTATTCCCATCAGTAAACCGGACATACTAATTGTAATTTCAGGTATTTTTGTGACACATATATTATTGAAATTATTATTATTAAATTACTGACTTTAATAATACATTCTTAAATTAGTTATTATTATAATAACATAATTAATATTGAAAGCAGTTTATAAACTTGCGTGGTGCTAGGGGGCACTACAATGTAAAGGAATTTATGTAATAAAAGTAAAGATGCAACGTTTGATTTTATTTTTCATGTTTTGTAATGCAAAAATTAACTGTCCTTTTATTTAAATTACAGCACATGCAAATTAACTTTTAGGTATATAATTATTCTGAATTATTTCAGAAAACTATTATGGTCTCATCACTGGATTAAAAAATGTAATAATATTCTCGGTTTAAAGAAAATGCACAGGTTTTAAATCCTCTGTGATAAGGGCCCATGAACTTGGAGCTGCTGATTTTTTTTTTTTTAATTTGCAGGGTTTTTACATAACAAATTATCAGAAACCAAAGCACCCAGATATCAGACTATGAATAGAAAACATCTTTCCTGAACAAGTACAGGCTTTATTACTTAATTGTATTTACACTGATGAGTGCACACAAAGAAAAATCAATTTGTGGGAGTTTATTTCATTGGTATTGAAATTGTATCTTCCTTGAAAAACTTGGCACACAGTGCCTAGTTTGTCTCCCAGTTCATTATATTATTATTTTACTATATTCTGTGCTGTTATGTAGTTTTATATGGGCTCACTAGTTGAGTGTTCAAAATTGCTTTTCTAAACTATAGAATATTAACTTCCAGTATTTACCAAAAAAAAGTATTTATTTAAAAAATCACAATAAAAGGGCATAAAATAAATATAAATACTCAACATTTTCAAGGTTCTTGTGGAATCATTCTGAAAGCATTAAAAGGAGAGGCTGGAAATCTGCGTTTATAATATTGGTCATTTCCCTACCTACTTAATAGTAACATTAAAGCTTCCTCAGTATGCTTTCTGAAACAAGTAAAAATGTTCTTTTACCTTAACTTATACTGTGGAAAATCTCAAAGGAATGCTAGAAAACCATTCCAATGTACTCACCCAAACA